>NT_167244.2:1836433-1883895 GCF_000001405.40 Homo sapiens | reverse complement strand
GGGCCAGCTCACTCTTCTCTTCAAAACAGCCATGTCCTGTCCTTTAGCTCATCACAGACCAATAGAAAATCCAAGTGTTGGAGCTCCAGGGATTCTATGAATGCAGCTGGGGACTTCCTCCTGCCCAGCCCAAAGATGCCCTTTCTTCCTTATCTCATTTCTCTAGCACTGCCACATCAGTTGCTACAGAACCCACCTGGAATGCTAGAGTAGTAGTTAAGGCTGTAGACTGCTGCTGGACTGCCCTGTGTGAATCCTAGCTCTGCAACTTCACTCTTGTCCTCCAGTGGGAGAAAGGGAGGTCTGTGAGGACCATTTAGGTTGGAGGTCCTTAATAATATGTACACACACATACTCACACGTACATCATGTGCACATCAATATACACAGGCATGTTTGCACACATGTTCACAGTCACATTAACACACAAACATGCACACATGTGCACGTACTTGCATGCATGCATATATGCACGTGTACACACTTACATAGTTGTGCACACACAAAAAAGCAGACTAATTTCTACCCTAACCCCCATCCCTGTTTCCGATCCCAGCCTTTACCTCAGTGTGCTAAGTGATGCTGTTTCCTTGTCTTGTTTTGGGTTCATTTCCATCTCTAATCATGACCTATAGGAAGCCCTCTGAGACTCAGAAGTATTACTAACCCCTGTTTTGTCTTTGTTTTTCAGTTTGTCTGGTTTATAGTTTTTAGCCCAGAGTCTGCTACCACCAGGGCCTTGTCTCTGAGCTACACCTGCTGAGTGGGGAGCTGGAGGCAGAGAACTCTGGGTTGACTTTCACTGCTCCATCCTCTTATCAACTCTGTCCTAGGTTGTGAATTTCCCGCCAGCACTTTATGAGTATGTGACTGGAGAACTTGGACTGGCCCTGGTGCTGGTTTTGAACAAGGTGGATCTGGCCCCGCCAGCTCTTGTGGTTGCCTGGAAGCATTATTTCCATCAACACTATCCCCAGCTCCACGTCGTCCTTTTCACCTCTTTTCCTCGGGACCCCCGCACCCCACAGGATCCTAGTAGTGGTGAGTGGGCAATGAGAGAGGGCAACTTGGGAGAGGTGAGTTGGCAGGGGACAAAGGGGAGAACAGAGAGGCTTATTGACAAGGGGGCACCTGGTCTTGGGCCTAAGGGTGGTGGGAGAGATGAGAGGCCTAAGCCCGTGTGCCCATCCTTTTGTGCCCTCTGATCTCAGTCTTGAAGAAGAGTCGGAGGCGGGGGAGAGGATGGACTCGGGCCCTGGGGCCAGAGCAGTTGCTGAGAGCCTGTGAAGCCATCACTGTGGGGAAAGGTATGTGGCCCTTAGAGGAGGGCTGTAGGAGGACATGGGGGAGACCAAAGATGCAGAATCATTTTGCTCACCTTTCCTGAAGCCAACCCCTCTATGGTGGATATGTGCAAGAGGCCAGGGGAAGGGACAGAATAAGGAGCAGACTGACTTGGTGGGACGAGAGGCAGCAGGTAGTCAGGAGCCTCAGTGGCTTGCTGCCTTTAGCCTTCCCAGTACTTTTCAGAAGCTCAGAGAAACGTGCGTGATTCCAGGGAGGGTAGGGTCAAATGACTTTTGGGAGATTCTCTGACCTGCTCTTATTTAGGTTGGCACTGTACAACTCCAGAGGGTGCCAGTTACATAATCTGTGCAGGGCACAGTATGTGCCATCATGCACAGCAGCCCTGGGGAGAACCTCTTTAATCTTCTCCTTCTTTGAGCAGTGGACTTGAGCAGCTGGCGGGAGAAGATTGCTCGGGATGTGGCTGGGGCCACCTGGGGTAATGGCTCTGGGGAGGAGGAGGAAGAGGAGGATGGCCCAGCAGTCCTGGTGGAGCAGCAGACTGATTCAGCAATGGAGCCAACTGGCCCAACCCAAGAGCGCTACAAGGATGGGGTGGTGACCATCGGCTGTGTGGGTAAGGAAGTGGCAGCTTGTGCGTGGTGGCCTCCAAGGAGGTACAGAGTTTTCATATTCGGAGAAGAGAGAGGGCGATCAGGTCTCATTAGGCCCCAGGGTGTCTGAGGGGTGATCTCTGCCAGTGGCGGTGGGCAAGGCAGAAGAGGCGTCTGCTGCAGTGGAAGGATCATGACAGCCTGAGTTAAATTCCACCTCTTCTCAGCTGTGAGGTCTTGAGTAAGTGATTTTGCTACTCTGAGTCTTAGTTACTTTGATTTTAAAAATAAGGACATTGATACCTGAGTAAAAGAATGGATGACGGCCATGTGTGAGGGCTCATGCCTATATAGTCCCAGCGCTTTGGGAGGCTGAGGTGGGAGGATTGCTTGAGACCAGGAGCTCAAGACTAGTGTGGGCAACATAGTGAAACCCCATCTTTACAAAAGATAAAGAAAACTAGCCAAGTGTGGTGGTATGTGCCTGTAGTCTCTGCTACTTCAGAGGCTGAGGCAGGAGGATCACTTGAGCCCAAGAGTTCAAGGCTGCAGTGAGCTATGATTGTGCCACTGCACTCCAGCCTGGCTGATAGAGACCCTGTCTTTAAAAAAAAAGAATGGATGTGAGGAATGATGGGAATAGTGTTAAGAGAGTGTAAGAATGCCTGACAAATAGTGATAACAATAATAACAATTATTATTGTTAAAACTCAGTATTTATATGGTGCTTACTATGTAACAGGCACTGTTTTAAGTGGTTTATATAAACCATTTGAATTGTAGTAATTAGTCTGTAGTACAGTGATTATCAAATCATAGTAGGAGCTCAGCAAGAATTAGTATTCTTCTAGGTTTTAACCCTTTAAGTTTGTTGCCAAGGAGAATCTCCTCTTAAGGGCTTTGTCTCAGCTCACAGTGGAGGAAAAAGGAATGTATGATTAGGACCCAGGGCCCGTCTTCATTTAGGGTGGGAGAGGTAAGAAGAGACCTTGGACAAGTTATGGTATCCGAGGTGATATTGGAACCAAAAAGGGCCCAACCCAGAATAAATTTGGGAGTGTGGAGTAGGTAGTTGGGTTCCTTGGAAGTGCCCTGACTTATCTCTGTGTCCTTTTTGTCTTTGGAAGAACCTGCCTTACTGCTGAGTGATTGCTCCTCTTTCCAGTCATTTCACCCGGCTGTCCCTTCCCTGACTTCTGATCCTAGTCTCCCTGTCACAAGGAGCCTCTGTTCCCTCTCTTAGCAGCCTCTGCTCTAGCTGATCTCTATTCCAGGTGGTGTGAGAGGGAGAGTGTTTGCTGTGGCACAGGCACCCCTGAGTTTGGATTTCCCTCCAGCTCTCATTCATTTACCCATTCAACAAATATGTACTGAACACTTAACCAGGTGCCAGATATTCTAGGGATGGGACATACTGCTGTGGAAATGGCAAAAAGGTCTGTAGATTCATGGAGCTTATTTTCTTGTGAGTAAATAGATTTTGTGATCCGAAATCATGTAGGGGCAGTGAAGGCAATAAAGCAATGAAAGGGGATAGAGAGTGACTGAGAGGAGAGGTGCTCAGGGAAAACCTCCCTGAGGAGAGAACTGGATGATGAGATGAAGTGAGCCATTCAGAACTGTGGGGAAAGGGTCTTGAGGAGGGAATGGGCTTGGAGATTCTAGGACCAGCAAGAGTGCCCAGGGGATTGGAGTATGGGAGCCAGGATAAAGTACTGGGGATGAGGTCAGCAAGATCACCAGGGCCCACATCATGTAGAGCCCTGAGGCTGTGACAGCCATTTTGGATTTTATTCCAAGTCTCATGAGAAGCCAAGGGTAGGTTTTGAACAGGGGAATGATAGGATCTGATTTTGTTTCTTATAAGTTTACCTCCTGAGTAGAGAATAAATGATGGGGGGTGGGCAAGAAAGGGAGCAGAGAGAGCAGTTGAGGCTATTTCAGTAATCTAGGAGAGAAATAAGAGTTGCTTAGAGTAGGATGCTGGAGCTGGAGGTGGTGAGACAGGGCCGGAAGCATGATATATTTTGAAGGTAGAGAAAATGAGATCGCTGATGGCTTGCAGTTGGCACGTGAAGGAAAGTGAGGATAAAGAAGGACTTCCAGGTTTTTGTCTTGAGCAACTGGAAATACTGAGATGGGAAGACTGGGGGAGAAGCAGATTTGAAGGCTTTGGGGAGGAGAGGGGAATCAGAAATGAAATTTCAGATTCTTTTTAAATATCCCTAGTGGAGATGTTGAATAGGCAGTGGGTAAGTAGTCAGCAGCTTAGGGGAGAGAAGAGGACGGAAATTTGAATTTGGGAAAGATTTAAATTTGGGGAACCATTGATGGATATAAGTGGTATTTAAAGCCACAGGATTAGGCTGGGCACAGTGGCTCATGCCTATAATCCCAGCCCTTTGGGAGGCTGAGGCAGGTGGATCACTTGAGGCCAGGAGTTTGAGACCAGCCTGGCCAACATGGTGAAACCCTGTCTCTACCAAAAAATACAGAAAATTAGCCGTGTGTGGTGGTGCGTGCCTGTAGTCCCAGATACTCAGGAGGGTGAGGCAGGAGAATTGCTTGAATCCTGGAGGCGGAGGTTACGGTGAGCCAAGATCATACCACTGCACTCCAGCCTGGGTGACAGAGCAAGACTTCGTCAAAAAAAAAAAAAAAAAAGCCATGGAATTGGATGAGATGTAGGAGAGAAAGGAAATAGTTGGAGAAGAGGAGGTCAAGGACTGAGCCTTAGGACAAGCCAGCATTTAGTTGGGCAAAGGACAGTGAGAAGGAGGAAAACCAAGGGAGCGTCCCAGAAGTCAAATGAAGAAGGTGTTTGAAGAGGAAAGGAGGAATCAGCTGTGTCAACTGTTGCTGACAGGCCAAATGAGAGAACAGAGAGCTGCTCAGCAGGCTTGGCAATGTGAAGATCCGTGGTTTCAGTGGGGTGGAGAAAGCCAAACTGGAGTAGGCCCATGAGAGAAGGTGCAACAACTTCACATAACATTGTGTGAAAAGAGTCTGACCCAATAGCATCCATACTGCACAATTTCAGTTCTATCAAGTTTGAAAGCTGCAAAATTAAGCTGCATTGTTGAGAGATACACAGGTCATAAACTAAAGAGAAATGTAAGGAGTTGATTTCCTTAAAAGGATAAAGCTTGCATGTATAGAGGGAGAGGATTATGATCAAGAAGGATGAGTGGCGGCCGGTATGGTGGCTCATCCCTGTAATCCTAGCACTTTGGGAGGCTGAGGCAGGCGCATTACTTGAGGTCAGGAGTTTGAGACCAGCCTGGCCAACATGGCAAAACCCTATCTCTACTAAAAATACAAAAAGTTAGCCAGGTGTGGAGCCGCACGCCTGTGGTCTCAGCTACTCAGGAGGTTGAGGCACGAGAATCGCTTGAACCTGGGAGGATGAGGTTGTAGTGAGCCAACATCGCACCACTGCACTCCAGCCCGGGTGAGGGAGTGAGACTCTGTCTCAAAAACAAAAACAAAAAAAAACAAGGACAGATGGAACATGTTGTCACACATTGGGTGGTATGGGGTTCATCAGGCTGCACATGTATGTTCTGTGCATTTTTTTGTATGTTGTAGTTTACAGTTACAAAGAAGATAGCAGGAAGAAATGGTGAAAAAAGTAGGTAAGTCTTTTAAGGAGTTTTCCTGCAAAGCGGACAGAGAACTAGGTCTGGTGGTGGTCGTCAAAGGAGAACTTTTTTCTCCCTCCTTCCCTCCCTTCCTCCTAGATACTTGCATGTGTTGTAAAGAGTGAGCACAGTGGTACATCTTTTCTTAGCCACAGTCAGCTGCCCAGGAGCAGTGCTGAATGGGCAGAGCTGGATTTTACAGGGTTGGGATTTTGCCAGGTGAGTAAGATAGAGGGGAGAAGTGGGACCAGGGAGTTCCAGGTCTGTGAACGGCCCTGGCTGAGGAGCTGGATCATGAAATCTGAGTCAAGTAAGAAGGAAATTGAGGACACGAGTTGGGTATTGCATAGTGTTACTGTGTTAAGGTCAGGGGTCAAAGACTTACTGGCATGGAGTAACCAGAGTAAGTGAGCTGGAAAGATGAGTTGTCAGGGCAGAGAGGGGTGCTTGGAATTGAGGCTTTGGAGCTGTGAAGTGACAAGATGCAGGTATTACCATGGGAGTGGGCAGCTGAGGTGGGGTAAAGGAGATGCTCTGTGGAAGGGAGATGAAGGCACTGAAGTCAGCCAGAAACACAAAAACTGGTGGTGGTGAGTGAGCAGAGTGGCAGTGAGCCCCAAGGCTTCCAGTTTTCTCCTTGGACAAGTCATCGTAATTATTATTATTATTTTTTGAGATGGAGTTTCCCTCTTATTGCCCAGGCTGGAGTGCAATGGTGCAATCTCAGCTCACTGCAACCTCCGCCTCCTGGGTTCAAGTGGTTCTCCTGCCTCAGCCTCCCAAGTAGCTGCAATTACAGGCGCCCACCACCACGCCCAGCTAATTTTTGTATTTTTAGTAGAGATGGGGTTTCACCATGTTGGCCAGGCTGGTCTTGAAGTCCTGACCTCAGGTGATCCACCCGCCTTGGCCTCCCAAAGTAATCACGCTGGGATTACAAGCGTGAGCCACTGTGCCAGGCCAAGTCATAGTAATTATGAGATGTGGATCACTGGTACTGGGTACTTACTGTACTGCAGGCACTGACCCACACAAGTTGTATTGGTTATCTCATTTAATCCTGACCACCCTGAGGTAGGGAGGTGTCCACACTGTAAAATGAAGAAACAGAGGCTCAGAAAGTTAGTTGCCCTGACATCACAAAGCTGGTAAGTGGAAGGGCCAGGATTTAACCCTGGCAGCCCAGAGCGTGATTTGTATTCTGCAATACCATTTCCTTAATTTCTGAGCCTTAGTTCCCCTTTTACCTATAGGTATAGCACCAAGTCCCATCACAGAGTAGAAACCTGTTAAACGTTAATTTTCCTTGCCTTCCTCAGGTTTCCCTAATGTGGGAAAGTCCTCGCTGATCAATGGGCTGGTGGGGCGGAAAGTCGTGAGTGTCTCCAGAACCCCGGGCCATACCCGATACTTTCAGACCTACTTTCTTACCCCCTCTGTGAAGCTCTGTGACTGCCCAGGCCTCATCTTCCCATCTCTTCTGCCTAGGCAGTTGCAGGTATGACGGGGAGGGTGGGTAAGGGAAAGAGAGAAGGTGGGACATTGAGGAAAGTACTGAGTGCTCATTTCCCTCAGGTTCTGGCAGGGATCTACCCTATCGCCCAGATCCAGGAGCCCTACACTGCTGTGGGCTACCTGGCCTCCCGAATTCCCGTGCAGGCCCTGCTCCACCTGCGCCACCCAGAGGCTGAGGACCCCTCAGCGGAACACCCCTGGTGTGCCTGGGACATCTGTGAAGGTGAGTTCCATGTGCCTGGCTTCGCCCCACCTGGTTTCAGCTGCTCTTCCTTACCTGCCTCGCCTTTTACCCTTCCCTGTCTCCTTTCCTCTCCTCAGAGATTCTGCCATTGATGAAGCTGCTGTCCACTCACCCCTAGATTTTTGTTGCATAGCCAGTAAGATCTCTGGCCTGGAATGTTTTGGGGAAAACTGGAAGGACTGTGTTATGGGAGTGGGAGTATAACTGGTACCTGGTTAATGCTTTCCCTTTCCATTATTCTTTTCTTCCTCCAGCCTGGGCAGAGAAACGTGGTTACAAGACAGCCAAGGCGGCTCGGAATGATGTGTACAGAGCAGCCAACAGTCTCTTGCGGCTGGCAGTGGACGGCCGCCTCAGCCTGTGTTTTCATCCCCCAGGCTACAGTGAACAGAAAGGTCAGAGCCCAGATATTCTTCCCCAGCCCCCTGCTATAGCGTAGGTAAAAGGGTGTGGGCTTTGTGGCCAGAGAGAGGGTCAAACCTGGATTCTGTACCTGTTGGCTAGCTCTGTTACTTAACATCTGTGATATTTTCCTGATCTGCAAACTGAGGGTAATAATTGACCCTTAGCATAGTGATTGTAAAGATTGAAGTTGATGTGCACAAAGGTTCTGTTCAGCAATCTGCACATAGGAAGTTGAATGAATGGATGAATGAATGAATGCCAGCAGCTCTAAAGATTATTGTTATTCCTAGTCTTTGCCTCTTCCCCATCTTTCCTTGGCTTTAGTTCTTGCTCAAAACTCTCCTCCATTTTTTTCTTGTTTTGGTTCCCCAGGCACCTGGGAGTCCCATCCAGAGACCACGGAGCTGGTGGTTTTGCAGGGCAGGGTGGGGCCAGCAGGTGACGAGGAGGAGGAGGAAGAGGAAGAGCTGAGCAGCTCCTGTGAGGAGGAGGGAGAGGAGGACCGGGATGCGGATGAGGAGGGAGAAGGGGATGAGGAGACCCCAACCTCGGCTCCAGGGTCCAGCCTGGCTGGCCGAAACCCTTATGCCCTGCTGGGTGAGGATGAGTGCTGAGTTCCTCGCCCAGCGCCATCTTCCCTCCCAGTATCTTTGCTTTTGGACTGACCTGGGGGTATCTCCCCTCTGCCACCCCAATTGTGAATAAAGATTGTTTGCTTTGTAGCCCCTTCCCCAGATGAACTGAGGTGAGAGCGGCTGTTCCAGGCTAACAGCTGTGGGAGGCTTCTCTCCTCTTCTCCCTTCTTTTTTCATGCATTCTCTTTGCAAGGGAAAGTTCTCTTAGGAGTTTAGTAGGTTCTCAGTCTCTGAAACCTGCTTCCTCTACCCATTCTCCCACTCTGCACCTTAGGAATCCCGTTATCTACATGGGGAGGGGAGGTCTAAATCCAGCTCCCTTTTGGAGTTTGTGCCATTCTCCGATTTGAGCAGCAGCCCTGTGTGCCCCCTGCCGCCAGACCTGCTCATTCCAGGAGCTTCTGGGAGAAGGAACAGTAAGAGAGGAACTGTGTCCCAAGCTGATGTCTCTTAATGAGATTTTTACAGGAATTGTTCAAATTCAGCAAATATTTATTGAGGGTCTATTGTGTGTCTTGACCTGTGCTGAGCACCAAGCATATAAGGATGTACCACCAGAGCCTGACCTAAATTTGAAGCCTGGCCATGATCAAAACCCCACCTTCAGGCACCCAAGTTTTTGGATTAAGAAGGGTGAATGATGTTCTCCAAATCCTGGGGGCTCATGCAGTATAATTCTAGGACTTCATGTTGATACAAATTTTTAGTTAAGGCAAAACGCTTGTGAAAATGTTGATTAAATGTGTACGAGTAGTTTTAATTACTGGTGAACAACTAGCGTGCACATTTATGATTTGAGCAGAACAGCCCTTTAAGTACAGTGTTAAGTTTCATTGTTTAAAAGCTTGGCAGCTACGAGTATTTGAGGTACATAGGGGCGGGCACAGAACCAGCCTCCTGAATTCCATTTACTCTGGTTTGGGGGTGGAACAAAGATGATCCAGTGCAGGGTCTGAGCTAGAACCTAGCAGGTGGCCAGAACCATTTTAGGGTTTCACCTCAGCATTTCGGCAGAAATCAGCTCTCTCGTGAGTCAGGGCACCTTAGGCTTTGCTGTATATCCCTTTGTTAAGCCAGCAGCTAGACTCCTAGATTGAATTCTTTTAGAAATGGGAGAATGAGCTTTTTTATTGACTGCCAGTGTTGTCTGTATTGGATGATAGCAAAAAGTGTAGTTGGACAGGTTGCCCACTAGATGGAGTGAGAAGTACCAGACTCCTTTTTTCTCTAAAGCAGATCCTTTCAGGATCTGAGTCACTGGGCAGTTTCTCTAATGCGAGCAGACAGACCCTGTTAACCAAGGAGCAAAGGAAAGTATATTTAAAGAGGCTAAGGTGTTTGGCCACATATTGCTTTAGGTTCATCTCCATTGGTCTCAGTGTGGACATAACTCCTGGAATTCACTCCAGTGCAAAGTTTAAATAATACCAGCATGAGAATGTACTTGAAGGTTTCCCAAAATGTGCTAGACAAGAAAGAGAAAAGGTCCCAGCTGAGAGAAAAATCCACCTGTCTCCCATCTGGGGCTCTTTGGCCTCACTGATAGAAAAGGAAAAGGGGCCCAAGCTAAGCTTACTTTGAGGGTTCATGATGTTCAGAGATGCTCAGGGGACTTCTCCGCTGCAGGAGGTGGGGTGAGGACATTGGATTCATTTCCTCAAAATGTGGAGAGAAAGGAGAAAAATCAGAATTCTATTTGTACCTCTGCTTCCTGTGCTGTTTATCTTTGCTTGTCTTTATCTTTTTCCACCTCAGGGGTTTCATCAGGGGTATTTGGGAGAGTCTAGGGGTGGGGATGAAGAATTGACTGGGAGCTGAGGAGGGGGGATTTTTATGCTGAAGACCTGGCAGGAGGCAACTCCTGACACCCCCACAGGGTTAGACTGTAAAACCTCTTCCATGACTTGCTGACTCTATAGGATAATAGCAACAGGAAAAGAACTGAGGGACGTGCAGATGAGGATGAATAGGGCCCCAACACCAGTGCCTGAGGCTGAGGTTAGAACTGACTACAAAGACACAGGAAACCAAGGGCCCAGTCTCCCCTCCACGCTGAAATACGCACCCTCTTGTCTGGGTCATGTCTACTATGTGAATACTTGACCATGGAGGTCTGGGGCTCTGGTGGCTTCCATAGCTGGCTAGTCTCTTGATGGAGAGAAATCAGGGCTTCTCTCATCCATGCTGGAATTTCATTTAGATGTCAACTTCCAAGTTTCCCTTTTTCCAGATGGGATTATAGTCCTGCTTCTGGAACAGGGTAGCTGTGTGTGGTCCAGGATAGTTCAATTATCTGGCCCTTTGTTCACTTCTTACAATCATTGATACAGTCAACAAAAATTGGTTAAAAACAATATATGCCAGACATATATCCCTGAGTTCTGGGACAATAACCAAAATTGAATAAGGCAATATCCTACTCTCAAGCAATAGAGGGTAGGAATAGAATAATAATAATATAATACAATAGCTCTATAGCAGTATGTAAACTATAAAAGCATTATTTTACGTGTTTCTATTGAACTGTCATAACTAAATAAGATGGTTAGTACTATAATTATCCCAAGGATTCATTCACTCATAGAACATTTGTTGAGCAATTACTACCTGCCAGTCACTTCCAAGTGGTAAGTGAGATAGAAATGGTTCTTTGTGGCACTCACAATTTATTGGAGAATGGAAACACAATTACAAAAAAAAAGTGTGATAAGTTCTGGGAGAAGGGTGGTACAGGATCCTGTGGGGTAGTGGTGGCTCCATATAGGAGGGACATTGGGATACTGATCAGGAAGGAGTGGGGGACAGGGCTAGAAGCTGCATTAGTATAAAGTTATGTCAGACTGCCAAAACAAAACAAACACAAAAAATCAGTAGTCTGTGGTAAAGAATTGCTATAGGAACAGCCAGTAGGGGCAGTTAAGCTGGTCTTGGTGAATCAGGGGAAGCGTCCTAGAGGAACAGATGTCCATGCTGAGGCCAAATGCTGGACAGGAGTTAGCCAGACAGGGAAATTGCATTCTGGGCAGAGGAGACAGCAAAGGTCAAGAAACATGACAACTTTGGAAGACTGTAACTTGTTCAGAGGCAGAGGGTGCAAAGGAGAAATGAGGAAAGGTGAAGCTGGAGAGGTGGGCTTGGTCCAGCTCTTGCTGGGCCTTTTCAGCCGTGTTAAAGATTTAGACTGTATCCAGAGGGATGTTGAACTTTAAGCCTAAGACTGAAAAGGTGAGAATTGTGCCTTAGATCACTATGGTTGCAGTGTGGAGACTGGTTTGGAAAGGGGAGAAATCAGAGGCTTTTACAGCCATCCCAGGGAGAGAGAATGAACACCAGAATTAGGGTAATGGAAGATGGAAAGAAGAGAAATCGTTTTATGGGTTGCTCAGGAGATAGAATTGACATGTCTTGGGATTGTTTTGCTGTGTAGGGGAGAGAGACAAGTCAAGAGTATACATCCTGTTTCTGACTTGGCAACTGGGTGGGTCATGGGTCTGTTTCCTGAGACAGTTGTCTACAGCCATACCACCGTAAGCGCCCTAAATCTCATCAGAGACAGTTTATGCAAATGGAGCTTGGGGAAAGAGAGGTCGTGGCTGGAGACAGAGATTTGGGCATCATCAACATATAGGTGTGGGGAGCAGAGAAGGCTGAGGAAGAAAGCAGGAAACATATAAAAAGGAGAGCAGGGAAAGGAGCCAGTGAGACAGGAAAAACCTAGTAACGTGGTGTGATGAAGCTAGGGGAGGAAGGAAGGAAGGAAGGGCGGCGTGGAACGCTGCTGATGGGTGGTGGCGGGGAAAATGAACGAGTATCCACCAGCAACGAGAGGGGCCTCCATGGTCTTGGTGGGAGCATTTCTTTGGAGAGGTGGAATCAGAAGCCCCAGATGTCAGAGGGTTAAGGAATAATTTGGAGGAAAAGCGTAAAGGCAGTGGAGGTGAGGAGAGAATTTTCAAAATGTTTGGCAGTGATTGCAATGAAAGAAAAAAATGGAGGGAGCAGAGTATATGCAGTTGAGGAACTTTTTTAGTTTGGAGTGTGTTAACACGATGTTAGGAAGAAGGATCAAGTGAAGGAGAAAGGTGAAAATGCTGGAAGGTGGGGCTTAGTGATGAAACAAACCTTGGGGACAGGTGGGCGTGGTACTGAGAGTCCCAGTGAGGGGAGTGCCCTCAGGCAGGCGCCGGTGGCTTCTGTCACAGGAGGGAACAGCGCTGACATTCAGCTGGTTCGCACTGATACGGCTCAACCAGTTTGTTAAAACATGTCTGTTCCAGTGTCAGTAATATACGAGTAACTGCAATATGCAGTAAAAATTATAAATTCTAATACAAACTCAGTTCAAGCTAATTAAGAGATCGCAACAGCCGTTGGTAAATGGACTTCCCGCTGCATTTGAGAAGCTTTGCAGCGCCATCTGCCGGTGTCGTAGCATCACTGCAGGCTGAGAGGCTGCTTTGCGCCTTCATCTTGAAGCACTCTGAAATTGCCTGTTTAAATTACCTTGGAATCATGGAGTTGCTACTGCTTCTGAATAGTTTAGCTTCTACTTTGATTTTATTGTTAGTGCATTGTCGTTCTTGTGTCAGTAGCAAGTTTCAGTGTTTTAATATTTACAAATACAAAAATTTTTAATAAAATATTAAAGCCAAACTTGAATGAAGAGACAACAAAGTTTGGATATGTTTCTTTATGTGCCTTTTGACATATCATAAATGAGAATCTTTTGATTCCTCAGGAGAACAAAGAAGAAATATTAATGAGCTGCAGCCAGGAATGTTTTCTGTTACTGTGTAAAAATCAGAATAATATGGAAATCATTTGCAACTTTTTATTTTGAAAAATTTCTAACATAGAAAAAGAACAATAAACACCCAAATACTGAAAGATTCAACAAATTCTACATTTTGCCATATTTGCTTTACTAGTTTTTGCCAGCTTCTGTATTAATCGATTTTTCTGTCTACTTATCCATTTTTTTTGTTGTCATTACCTTTTATTTTTAAAAATTTTAACCTTTAATTGTAAATTGGCAAATTATAGTTGTATATATTTATGGCGTACAAAGTGATGTTATGATTCATGAATACACTGTGGGATGATTAAATCAAGCAAATTAACATCTATCACTTTTTTTTTTTTTGAGATGGAGTTTCACTCTTGTTGCCCAGGCTGGAGTGCAGTGGTGCAATCTCGGCTCACTGCAACTTCCGCCTCCCGGGTTCAAGTGATTCTTCTGCCTCAGCCTCCCGAGTAGCTGGCATTACAGGCGTCCGCCACCATGCCCGGCTAATTTTTTGTATTTTTAGTAGAGACGGGGTTTCACCATGTTGGCCAGGCTGGTCTCCAACTCCTGACCTCAGGTGATCCACCCACCTCCACCTCCCAAAGTGCTGGGATTACAGACGTGAGCCACTGCACCCGGCCCAACATCTATCACTTTTAAATACTTACTTTTTTTGTGGTGAGAATGTTTGAAATTTACTCTCTACATTCAGAGGAGGGAATATGTTAAAAATGTAAAAAAGATATTTACCCTCAACACTTATGAAATGTCCAAGAATTATTTACTATATTCACTTTGCTGTGCAGTATATCTCAAAGAAAAAGAAAAGCTTATTTTTCCAGTCCAATGAAGCTTTGTAACCTTTAACCATCATATCCCCATTTACCCCAGACCCCCAGCCTCTGGTAACTACTATTCTGCTCTCTCCTCCTTTAAGTTCGATTGTTTTAGATTCCACTTATAAGTGAGAACATACAGTATTTGTCTTTCTGTGCCTGGCTTACTTCACTCAGCATAATGTTCTCCAATTCCATTAACGCTGTCTCAAATGACAAAATTTCTTTTTAAAGGCTGAATAGCATTCCACGGTATATATACCATATTTTCTTTCTTTCTTTCTTTTTTTTTTTTTTTTTTGAGACGGAGTCTTGCTCTGTCACCCAGGTTGGAGTGCACTGGTGCAATCTCAGCTCACTGCAAACTCCGCCTCCCAGGTTGAAGTGATTCTCCTGCCTCAGCCTCCAGAGTAGCTGGGACTACAGGCGCCTGCCACCACGCCCAGCTAATTCTTTTGTACTTTTAGTAGAGATGGGGTTTCACCGTGTTAGCCAGGATGCTCTCGATATCCTGACCTCGTGATCCGCCTGCCTCGACCTCCCAAAGTGCTGGGATTACAGGCTTGAGCCACTGCGCCCGGCCTATATACCATATTTTCTTTATCCATTCATCTGCTGATGAACACTCGGTTTGACTATGTAACTTCACTGTGGTTAATAGTGCTGCAGCGAACATGAGAGTGCAGGTATCTCCTCGACATACTGATTTCAAATCTCTTTAGTAAATACCCAGACGCAAGATTGCTGGATCATATGGTAATTCTTTTTTTTTTTTTTGAGATGGAGTTTCACTCTTGTTGCCCAGGCTGGAGTGCGATGGCACGGTCTCAGCTCACTGCAACCTCCGCCTCCCGGGTTCAAGCGGTTCTCCTGCCTCAGCCTCTCAAGTAGCTGGGATTACAGGCGCCCACCACCACGCCCAACTAATTTTTGTATTTTTAGTAGAAATGGGGTTTCACCATATTGGCCAGGCTGGTCTCGAGCTCCCGACTTCAGGTGATCCGCTCACCTCGGCCTCCCAAAATGATGGGATTAGAGGTGTGAGCCACTGTGCCCAGCCCCATATGGTAATTCTATTTTTAGTTTTTTGAGGAACCGCCATACAGTTTTCCATAATAGCTGTACTAATTTACATTCCTACCAACAGTATACAAGTGTTGTCTTTTCTCAACCATTTGAACTTTTTTTTTTCTTTTTGAGATGGAGTTTTGCTCTGTCACCCAGGTTGGAGTGCAGTGGTGCAATCTTGGTTCACTGCAACCTCTGCCTCCCGGGTTCAAGTGATTCTCTTGCCTCAGCCTCCCCATTAGCTGGGACTACAGGTGTGCACCACCATGCCTGGCTAATTTTTGTATTTTTAGTGGAGACGAGATTACACCACGTTGGCCAAGGTGGCCTCAAACTCCTGACCTCAGGTGATCCGCCTCCTTCGGCCTCCCAAAGTGCTGGGATTGCACTGCACCCAGCCCTGAACCATTTGAAAGTTGGAGACATCGGCTGGGCATGGTGGCTCATACCTGTAATCCCAGTACTTTGGGAGGCCGAGGTAGGCGGATCACCTGAGGCCAGGAGTTGGAGACCAGCCTGGCCAACATGGTGAAACCCCGTCTCTACTAAAAATACAAAAAATTAGCCGGGCATGGTGGTACATGCCTATGATCCCAGCTACTCAGGACGCTGAGGTGGGAAAATTGCTCAAACCTGGGAGGTGGAGGTTGCAGTGAGCCAAGATAGTGCCACTGCACTCTAGCCTGGGTGACAGAGCAAAACTCCATCTCAAAAAAAAAGAAACTTGCAGACATCATGACCATTCACCCCTAAATACGTCATATACATCTCTTACACAATCATAATAGAATCATCATGTTTAATGAGTTAATAATTTTTAATGTCATCTAGCATTAAACTTCTCCAATTTGAATGCCTTTTATAGCATTTAATTTTTCCTAAGTATAATTACCAAATAAAAATTGTATAGATTTATGGTGTATAGCATGATGTTTTAATATATAGCTTTTAAAAAACTCCCAGAACAGGAACCAATCAAGTTTCAACATTGCATTTTTTTATGTCCTTTTCTCACCCCTTTCTTTTTAATCTACAATCATCCAGTTTTTTTCTTCTTGGAATTGGATCTTTGAGGATACTAGGGCAGTTGTCTTTTAGACTGTTCAACATTCTAGATTTGTCTTACTGTTTCTTTGATGTCACTTAATGTGTTCATCTGTCTCCCTGAGTTTTGAGGGGTTTTCCCCCAATTACTTGGTTAGATTCAGGTTACCCAGTCTTGGGACTAATTCCTCAAACTTGCTATATATGTCACATTGCCTCACATCAGAAGGCATATGATATGAAGCCATCCCACAAGCAGTGATGCTAAGTATGATTGCTTGGTTAGGATGGACACGGTCAGATCTTTTCTGTAAAGGTTATGTTTCCCTCTTGGCAATTAGCAAGTCGTCTGCATGGTTCTTTGACACTGTGTGTATACGCTGAAAAACTTTCTCTTATCGCCATCTACAGTGATTCTTGCTTGAATTGGTTATTTCATCAGAAATTACAAAAGGTGCTTTTCTAATTCTCCCACTTCTACATTTATAAGGGCATAATTACCTAGGAAGGAGCTTTCTCTCACCAACTGGAAAAAGTAGGGTCCTTCTCAAACTCCTGACCTCAAGTGATCCACCTGCCTCAGCCTCCCAAAGTGCTGGGATTACAGACATGAGCCACAGCGCCCGGCCAAAGTAGGGTCCTTCTAAAAGGCAAGGTAAATGCTTATTTCCCTTTACCAGTTTTCAGAATAAGGTATTGGTATGATATTAATCTCCAAAGGTAGAAAATTTATTTTTTTTCTTTTTTTAAACTATAGATTTAGGGTTTTTATCCATTCAGTATTTCTTTTATTTTTTGAGACAGCATCACGGTCTGTTGCCCAGGCTGGAGTGCAGTGGCGCAATTACCACTCACTGCAGCCTCAACCTGCCAGGCTCAAGTGATCCTCCTACCTCAGCCTCCTGAGTAGCTGGGACCACAGGTGCATGCCACCACACCCAGATGATTTTTGTATTTTTTGTAGAGATGGGGTTTTGCCATGTTGCCTGAGATCAAGTGATCCACCTGCCTTGGCCTCAAAGTGCTGGGACTACACCATGCCAGGTATCCATTTAATATTTCACAATTGGTTACAGTCATTATTTTTTTGTGCTCGAACTGTACCTTATGTGTCCAGTGGGAGCCTTTTTTTTTTTTTTTAATTTGAGATGGAGTCTCACTCTGTCACCAGGCTGGAGTGCAGTGGTACGATCTCGGCTCACTGCAACCTCTGCCTCCTGGGTTCAAGCAATTCTCCTGCCTCAGCCTCCTGAGTAGCTGGGACTACAGGTGCATGCCACCATGGCCAGCTAATTTTTGTATTTTTAGTACAGACGGGGTTTCACCTTATTGGCCAGAATGATCTAGATTGGGAGAGGGCCCCAGTGGGAGCCCTTTTAAGCTAACTCCTACATCCATTCTGACATACCCCAAAAGTTCTGTGAGCACTTGCTTGCTTTTGACACAACTAGATGTCCCAGGCACAATTTTTTTTTACTTTCCCAGCTCCAGATGTGGAATCAGCCATTTTTCTTTTTCTTTTTTCTTTCTTTCTTTCCTTTTTTTTTCTTGAGACAGAGTCTCACTCTGTCACCCAGGCTGAAGTGTAGTGGCATGATCTCAGCTCACTGCAACCTCTGCCTCCAGAGTTCAAGTGATCCTCCCACCTCAGCCTCCTGAGTAACTGGGATTATAGGCATTGCCACTACGCCTGGCTAATTTTTGTACTTTTAGTAGAGATGGGGTTTCATTATGTTGGCCAGGCTGGTCTCAAACTCTTGGCCTCAAGTGATCTGCATCTGCCTGCCTTTAGCCTCCCAAATTGCTGGGATTACAGGCATGAGCCACTGCACTTGGCCAAAATCAGCCATCTTTTTTTTTTTTTTTTTTTTTTTTTGAGGCCGAGTCTTGCTCTGTCGCCCAGGCTGGAATGCAGTGGCGTGATCTCAGCGCACTGCAAGCTCTGTCCCCAGGTTCATGCCATTCTCCTGCCTCAGCCTCCCAAGTAGCTGGGACTACAGGTGCCCACCACCATGCCTGTCTACTTTTTTGTATTTTTAGTAGAGACAGGGTCTCACTGTGTTCGCCAGGATGGTCTCGATCTCCTGACCTTGTGATCTGCCCGCCTCGGCCTCCCAAAGTGCTGGGATTACAGGCGTGAGCCACTGCACCCGGCCAAAATCAGCCATCTTTCTAAGGAACATTGATTCGTTTTAGTGAGGAATGGTCTTTAGTGCTGGGAGAGCTCGTTGCTACAGAGGTGTCATCGCTTTAAGTCACATTTAGGGTTTAAAAAAAATCATGAATTCATATTGGTATTTCCAATTCAAATTGTACATTATAGGTTTTTCCCTCTTCTTGGACTTTGTATTTGTATATCTTTTATCAGGGCAATCGAAAGCCTTGGCTCTTAATACTCTTAATATATTTACCTATTTTTCTCTCCTACAATATACATAAAATCATCTTAAAATTGCATTGGGCCAGGCACAGTGGCTCATGCCTGTAATCCCAGCATTTTGGGAGGCTGAGGCGGGCGTTATCACTTGAGGTCAGTAGTTCGAGACCAGCCTGGCCAACATGGCAAAACCCCGTCCCTACTCAAAATACAAAAATTAGCTGGGTGTGGTGGTGGGCATCTGTAATCCCAGCTACTAGGGAGGCTGAGGCAGGAGAATAGCTTGAACTTGGGAAGTGGAGGTTGCAGTGAGCCAAGATTATGCCACTGCACTCCACTCGGGGTGACAGAGCGAGACTCCATCTCAAACAAACAAAAGAAATCGGCTGGGCATGATGCATTCATCTGTAGTCCCAGCTACTCAGGAGGCTGAGGTGGGTGGATCACTTGAGCCCGAGAGATTGAGGCTGCTGTGAGCTATGATCGTGCCACTGCACTCTAGCCTGGGCAACAGAGCAAGATCTTGTCAAAAAAAAAAAAAAAATTGGGAAACAAAATCTTTTAGGGCTTCTGAAGTCACCCCATGAGTAACTGAGTGTGATGAGTGTAGGACTCCTGGTCCCAGCACCTGGTCTTATTTCTGTTTCTCAAACATGTCCTTTCCACCCCAAGACTTTTATCCCTTTTTGTTCCCTGGTCTGGAATACTCTGTCCCACCTACCCGCCACCTGTAGTCTTGCCACATCCAGTCTCTGCTGACATATTCCTCAGAGGGGAATATGTGCCTGATTCCCCTCCTTTCAACCTAGGCAAGGTGAGTTTCTCCTGCATGAGTTCCTCTATGGCCAATGAGCCTCACACAATTGAGTGTCTACCATCCACCCGCCAGCAAGGCCCCAAGACAGCACGTTTTCTTCCCTGTTGATCACTCTATTCTCAGTACCTATAACAGCACTGTATTAGTTAGGGTGTTCCAGAGAGTTAGAACCAATCAGATGAAAGAACTGTTTCATGCTATCATAGGGGTTGGCAAATCCAAAATCTGCAGAGCAGGCAGGCCAGCAGCAAAGAGTTGATGTTACAGCTCAGGTCCAAAGGCGGTGTGGAGGCAGAATTCCCTCTTCCTCAGGGACCTCAGTCTTTTTGTCTTAGGCCTTTGAATGATTGGATGAGGCCCACTCACATTGTGGAGGGCAGTCTGCTTTATTCAAAATGCACCAATTTGAAACATCCAAAATACCCTCACAAAACCATCCACAATGTTTGACCAAATATCTGAATACCATGGCTTAGCCAAGTTGACAAATAAAATTAACCATCACAAGTACCTAGCACAAATGCATAATTTTATGTCTATATGTATATATATTTTCTTATACATACATATGCATGCATACACATATTTATGATTATAAAAAGTATATATATATCTATATATATAGAGAGAGAAATAAAGGAATGATCCATGTACCTTACAAATACACTAGAAACATAAATTCATAGATAGCAGCAGATCTCATTACGATGTTTAATTTTATGTGTCAACTTGTCTGGGCCATGGTGTCCAGATATTTAGTCAAACATTATTCTGGATGTTTCTGTGAAGGTGTTTTTGGATGAGATTTACATTTAAATTGGTGAACTTTAAATGTAATGAGGGTGGGCTTCATCCAATCAGTTGAAGACCTGGTTAGAACAAAAGGCTGTCCTCTCTCTTTTGTTCTGGTCAGAAGTTTCCAGCACACCACCTTTGGACTTGAACTGCAACTCTTTCCTGTGTCTCCAGCCTGCTGGGCTCTCCTATCAGACTTTGGACTCACCAAGCCTCCACAATTTTGTGAACTAATTCCTTAAAATAAGTCACACTCTCTCTTTCTCTCTCTGCAAGTATGTATGTATGTACGTATGTATGTATATTCTATTTCTCTGGAGAACCCTGACTAACTCAGAAAGCAAAAATGCCCTCTATGGCAGGGTGCAGTGGCTCATGCCCGTAATCGTAGCACTTTGGGAGGCCGAGGCGGGCAGATCACCTGAGGTCAGGAGTTCAAGACCAGCCTGGCCAACATAGTGAAACTCCGTCTCTACTGAAAAAAACACACACACACAAAAATTAGCCGGGCATGGTGGCAGGTGCCTATAATCCCAGCTACTTAGGAGGCTGAGGCAGGAGAATCGCTTGAACCTGGGGGGCGGAGGTTGCAGGGAGCCAAAAACGTGCCACTTCACTCCAGCCTGGGTGAGAGAGCGAAACTCTGTCTCAAAAAGAAAACCAAAACCAAAAATGCCGCCAATCACGTCTATGAGATAACCATTGTTTACTGTTTGTTCCGTGTTCCTGTATTCTCTCCCCCAACTTTTTCCTGTTTATATATCAGCAAAGATGGATGGAGGGGAAGATTGAAAAAAATGTTTCTTCCAGTTTATATTGTTCTGCAACTTTTATTATTTATTTATGATGTGCTCATTTTCCCATGTCAATACATATAGATCTTTACAAAATGATACTGTGATATTTCATTGTATATACACAGCCTACTTTAACTATTCTGGTACTCCCCCCACGGCCCCCCCCCATTATTCACTAGTAGACATAATGCCTCAAAAAAACATTCTTGGGTGGGTGCCGTGGCTCACATCTCTAATCCCAGCACTTTGGGAGGCTGAGGCGGGCAGATTGCTTGAACCCAGATATTGGAAACCAGCCTGGGCAACATGGTGAAACCCTATCTCTACAAAAAATACAAAAATTAGGCTGGGCGCGGTGGCTCACACCTGTAATCCCAGCACTTTGGGAGGCTGAGGCAGGTGGATCACGAGGTCAGGAGTTCGAGACCAGCCTGGCCAACATGGTGAAACCCTGTCTCTTCTAAAAGTATGAAAATTAGCTGGGTGTGGTGGCATGCGCCTGTAGTCCCAGCTACTCAGGAGGCTGAGGCAGGAGAACTGCTTGAATCCAGGAGGCGGAGGTTGCCATGAGCTGAGATCGTGCCATTGCACTCCAGCCTGGGTGACAGAGCGAGACTCCATCTCAAAAAAAAAAAAAAAAAATTAGCTGGGTGTGGTGGTGTATGCCTATAGTCCTAGCTATTCGGGAAGCTGAGCGGGGAGGATTGCTTGAGCCTGGGAAGTTGAGGCTTCAATGAGCTGTGATTATGCTACTGTACCATGCCTGGGTGACAGCAAGACCCTGTCTCAGAAAACAAAACAAAACAAAACAAAACAAAAAACAAAAAAACCCCAAAAATTCTTGTACTTACTTTTTTGCACACTAGAGGGAGTGTTTCTATAAATTCCTAGTTGCCATGAATGGAATGTTTGTAGTCCCCTCAAACTGTATGTTGAAGCTCTCTAATTCCCAATGTGATAGTCTTTGGAGGTGGGGCCTGGGCTATAATGAGGTTTGGATAAAGTCATGGGGGCATAATGGGATTGGTGCCCTTATAAAGAGATGAAGAGAGGCTATTGCTCTCCCTGCCACAGCAAGGCGGTGGGATGGGCCGGGTGTGGTGGCTCACGTCTGTAATCCCAGCATCTGGGAGGCCGAGGTGGGAGGACTGCTTCAGCCCAGGAGTTCAAGACCAGCCTGGGCAACATAATGAGACCTCGTCTCTACAAAATTACAAAAATTTAGCTGGGCCTGGTGGCATGCACCTGTAGTCCCAGCTACTCGGGCGGCTGAGGTGGGAAGATCAGTTGAGCCCAGGAGGTTGAGGCTGCAGTGAGCCAAGCTTACACCATTGCACTCCAGCCACCTGGGTGACAGAGAAAACCCTCATCTGTTAAAAAAAAAAAAAAAAAAGAAAGAAAGAAGAAAGAAGGAAGAAAGACAGAGAGAAAGAAAGAAAGAGAAAGAGAAAAAGAAAGAAAGAAAAAGAAGGAAAAGAAAGAAAATGAAGGTGGGACATCTGTGAACTGGGAACAGAAAAAGGACCTTCACCAAGCACCTTAACTGCCAGTGCCTTGATACCTGAACTTCCCAGCCCCAAGAACTGTGAAAAATAAACCTCTGTTGTCTATAAGCCATCCAGGCTGTGGTGTTGTTATAGCAGCCCAAACTAACTAAGGCACTAATTTAAGTGGAAATGCTAAATCAAAGGTTATGAAAATGTTTAATATTAATAGGTACTAAATTACTTCCCCCAAAGGTGATAAGTTTACACTCTTATCAACAAGAGGTTAAAACATTGTTTTAAGCTGGGTGCAGTGGCTCATGCCTGTAATCCCAGCATTTTGGGAGGCCAAGGTTGATGGATCACTTGAGATCAGGAGTTCGAGACCAGCCTGGCCAACATGGTGGAACCTCGTCTCTACTAAAAATACAAAAATTAGCCGGGCATGGTGGCGGGCGCCTGTAATCCCAGCTACTCAGGAGGCTGAGGCAGGAGAATCGCTTGAACCCAGGAGGCAGAGGTTTCGGTGGGCTGAGATCGCGCCACTGCACTCCACCCTGGGCGACAGAGTGAGACTCTGTCTAAAAAAAAAAAAAGTTTTAATTTACTTTTACTATATGACTGGAGGGGTTGAAAATAATTTCATATTTATTGTTCAATTGAATTTATTCTTCTGTAAATTACTTATATCACTTATATGCTTTTAACAATATATCTTTTAAAATTAATTTGCAGTTGGTATATGATGGATATTACAATTCTACTGTATATGCTGATACTGTTGTAACCACCCAATTGGTTCATTTTGCCTGCTGCTCAGATAGAGCCAATTTATGAAGACAGGGGAATTGCAATAGAGAAAGAGTTTTATATACATAGAGCCAGTTAAACAGGAGACTGAAGTCTTATTATTACTTATATCAGCCTCCTCTCAAATTTGAAGGCTTTTTCAAGATAGTTTGGGTTGGGCATGGCAGCTTACACCTGTAATCCCAGCACTTTTCGAGTCTGAGGTAGGAGGATTGCTTGAGTCCTTGAGTTTGAGATCAGCCTGGACAACACAGCAAGACACCATCTCTACAAAAAATTTAAAAATTAGCCAGGTGTGGTGGTGTACACCTGTAGTCCCAGTGACTTGGGAGGCTGGGCCAGGGAGGTTGAAGCTGCTGTGAGCCATGATTGCACCACTGCACTACAGCCTGGGCGACAGAGTCTCAAGAAAAAAAGAAAAAAAAAGATAGTTTGCTGGGCAGGTGGCTAGGGAATGGGTGCTGCTGATTGATTGGGATGCAATCATAGGGATGTGGAAAATGGTCCTCGTGCACTGAGTCCACTTCTGAGTGGGGCCATAGGACCGGTCTTGGATCTGGGTGGAGTCATCTGGTTTTCCAAAATGGAAAAGCCTGAGCTGGGCAAGGTGGCTCGTGCCTGTAACCCCAGCAGTTTGGGAGGCTGAGGCAGGAGGATCGCTTGAGTCCAGGAGTTTGAGACCAGCCTGAACAACAGAGCCAGACATCATGTCTACTAAAAATACAAAAACAAAACAAACAAACAAGCAAAAAACACCCCAGAACCAAAAAACAACAAAACTGGCCAGGCATGGTGGCATGCACCTGCAGTCCCAGCTACTTGGAAGGCTGAGGTGGAAGGTTCACTTGAGCCCAGGAGATAGAGACTGCAGTGAGCTATGATCACTGCACTCCAGCCTTGGTGACAGAGCAAGACCTTGTCTCAAAGCAAACAAAACAAAAAATAACTGCAAAGACATCTCAAAAGGCCACAGTGATATCATTTTACAGGACTAATTGGGGAAGTTACAAATCTTGTGACCTCTGAAACAATGGCGGGTAATTGTTTATCTAAGCCTGCATTCAGGCCCCTCTCATCCTCCCTAACCTGGTGGCCTTTCATCATTTTTACAAAGACAGGTTAGTTTTGGGAAGGGCTATTATCATTTAAACTGTAAACGAAATTTCTCCCAAAGTTAGCTTGGCCTTTGCTCAGGAATGACTAAGTGCAATTTGGAGGTTAAAGGCAAGAAGGAGTTGGGTTAGATTGGATATCTTTCAATGTCATAATTTTCTCACTGTTACAATTTTTGCAAGGGTGGTTTCGGTGTTTTCATTTTTTTTTCCTTTGTTAAAGCTATATTGACACCTTCCTTCCATCTCCTCCTTGCATTCCCACAGCACATCCTCCAACAGAAGCCACAGACAACAGAAGAGAGCAGCTTCCCTGTGTGTCCCATACCCACCTCTCCACTTCTGCCACTGGGCATGGACTCCTTTTGATGAACAAGTTCCTCTCACCACGAGCTCACTCTCTTCACACCTAGCTCTAGACCCATGGAAAAAGTCCTGCTGAGTCAAGTCAAGAAGTTCTTCTTTTTTTTTCTTTTTTTGAGACGGAGTTTCACTCTTGTTGCCCAGGGTGGAGTGCACTGGCGCAATCTCGGCTCACTGCAACCTCCGCGGCCCGAGTTCAGGTGATTCTCCTGCCTCAAGCTCCTGAGTAGCTGGGATTACAGGTGCCTGCCACCACGCCTGGCTAATTTTTTGTATTTTTAGTAGAGACGTTGTTTCACCATGTTGGCCAGGCTGGTCTCAAACTCCTGACCTCAGGTGATCCAACCGCCTCGGTCTCCGAAGTGCTTGGATTACGGGCGTGAGCCACCGCGCCGGGCCAAGTTCTTCCTGAGGACCCAAACCCTAGACACTCAAACCAGTGGTCTCTCTGTCTCTTCTGCACCCACTCCCACCATCGTGCCCTGGACCTCAACAGGGGTTATGCTGGGTGAGAGGCTGCTAGATGTTTAGAGACACTGAAATCCAGGGCATGACTGTGGCCAGGAAGAAAACAAGGGCAAGAGAAAGATGCTAGAGATAAACTTCCTTTTTCTTTATTCTTCCTAAGGATGAGTCCAGCAGCCAGGTCCTGGGTGAATTTGTCCATTTAGGCACATAAAAAATGGACCAACATGGAAATGTTCACACACTCCCTTATTAGATCAGTTAGGTTCACACAGAAAAAAACAAAAAAAGTTTCCTAAAAATTGTCACCACTATGATGATGCACTTGTTCTGTGTTTTTGTTTTCTTGTTTTATTTTGATTCTTTTCTTTTTTTTTTAAGAGACAGGATCTCACTATGTTGCCCAGACTGGTCCCACACTTCTGGGCTGAAGTGATCCTGCCTGTTTCCCAAAGTTCTGAGATTACAGGTGTGAGCCACCAACCATGCCTGGCTTTTTTTTTTTTTTTTTTTTTTTTTTTTTTTTTTGAGACGGAGTCTTGCTCTGTCGCCCAGGCTGGAGTGCAGTGGCACAATCTAGGCTCACTGCAAGCTCCGCCTCCTGGGTTCACGCCATTCTCCTGCCTTAGCCTCCTGAGTAGCTGGGACTACAGGCGTCCACCACCACGCCAGGCTAGTTTTTCATATTTTTAGTAGAGACGGGGTTTCACTGTGTTAGCCAGGATGGTCTCGATCTCCTGACCTCGTGATCCGTCCGCCTCGGCCTCCCAAAGTGCTGGGATTACAGGCGTGAGCCACCGCGCCCGGCCATCTTAATTCTTTTATGGACAGTGTGAAGTAGACATTTTAACTCCATGGTAGAGGTGAGAAAACTGAGGCTTAGTAGCAATGCTTTAATTGGAAACATTTACTCACAAATAGATAAGACTCTAAAAAGAAAAAAAAAGTGATTCATGCGATTAGTCCCCACTTCTCAGGGAAAACCCTACAAAACACCCGAGCTGCTGGCTACAAATGTCATGGGTTTATTTAATTTTCCACGTGGTTGTTTCTCCCTGGCCAGTGAACATTTCATTTAGCAGGGAGGCTGGATCTGGCCTGCCATCTGGCTTTCGTGGTGCACTTTAGACTCTGGAGTTTGACAACAGCTGTTGCACAACCATGCCAGGAGGCCACCAGTCTTGGGACAATGGTTTCTCATTAGTTTGCATAAGGTAGAACAGAAATATAGTAGCTGAGGGAAAACAAAAACTTTAAATAATTTAGGGATGGGATTTTCCTGGATGAGTCACATTTTAATGAGTATATCAATGATTCATTATGTATGAACGTTATGATGTGTGCAGAAGTTATTTCTTTTTTTTTTTCTTTTTTTTTTTTTTTTTGAGACGGGGTTTCGCTCTGTTGCCCAGGCTGTAGTGCAGTGGCGTGATCTCGGCTCACTGCAAGGTTCACACCATTCTCCTGCCTCAGCCTTCCAAGTAGCTGGGACTACAGGTGCCTGCCACCGCACCTGGCTAATTTTTTTTGTATTTTTAATAGAGACGGGGCTTCACCGTGTTAGCCAGGATGGTCTCCATCTCCTGATCTCGTGATCCGCCCGCCTCAGACTCCCAAAGTGCTGGTATTACAGGCGTGAGCCACCGCGCCTGGTCTATGCACAAGTTATTTTTATCAGCTCTAACTGTCCTTAAGACCAAGTATCAACATGAACTCAACATAGAACCAGACCATCAAATGTCTGCATTACAAATTGTTAAAGCATCATTTTCAAAAATAATTAAGCATAATTAGTCATATTGCTCTCACTTGAAAGTATATAATTAATAATGTTATAAGGGCAAAATATTCTTTTTTCTTTTTCTTTTCTTTTCTTTTTTTTTCTTTTTTGAGACACAGTCTCACTCTGTCGCCTAGGCTGGAGTGCAGTGGTGCGATCTCGGCTCACTGCAACCTCCGCCTCCCGGGTTCAAGCGATTCTTGTGCCTTAGTCTCCCGAGTAGCTGGGATTACAGGCACCCGCCACTACGCCCAGCTAATTTTTTGTATTTTTAGTAGAGACAGGGTTTCACCATGTTGGCCAGGCTGGTCTTGAACTCCTGACCTCGTGATCTGCCCGCCTCGGCCTGCCAAAGTGCTAGGATTACAGGCGTCAGCCACCGCGCCCAGCCCTATTATTTGTATTTTGAATAAAAATTGTTATTTAAATTATTTTTCTTTATCATATCTTCTAAAATTTCTAATTAAAACACTTTATAATGTGCATAATGTATTGCTACAAAGCAACATACAGTTTAAAAAGTAGGGAAGATTTTTTTTATTTTTTATTTTATTATACTTTAAGATCTGGGGTACATGTGCACAACATGCATGTTTGTTACATAGGTATACCTGTGCCATGGTGGTTTGCTGCACCCATCAACTCGTGATTTACATTAGGTAGTTCTCCTAATGCTATCCCTTCCCTAACCCCCAACCCCCCCACAGGCCTCGGTGTGTGATGTTCCCTGCCCTGTGTCTGTGTATTCTCATTGTTCAACTCCCACTTATGAGTGAGAACATGTAGTGTTTGGTTTTCTGTCCTTGTGATAGTTTGCTGAGAATGATGGTTTCCAGCTTCATCCATGTCCCTGCAAAGGACATGAACTCATCCTTTTTTATGGCTGCATAGTATTCCACGGTGTATATGTGCCACATTTTCTTAATCCAGTCTATCATTGATGGACATCTGGGTTGGTTCCAAGTCTTTGCTACTGTGACTAGTGCCGCAATAAACATACATGTGCATGTGTCCTTATCATGATTTATAATCCTTTGGGTATATACCCAGTAATGGGATGGCTGGGTCAAATGGTATTTCTAGTTCTAGATCCTTGAGGAATCGCTGCATTGTCTTCCACAATGGTTGAACTGATTTACACTCCCACCAACAGTGTAAAAGTGTTCTTATTTCTCCACATCCTCTCCAGCATCTGTTGTTTCCTGACTTTTTAATGATCACCATTCTAACTGGCGTGAGATGGCATCTCATTGTGGTTTTGATTTGCATTTCTCTGGTGACCAGTGATGATGAGCATTTTTTCATATGTCTTTTGGCTGCATAAATGTCTTCTTTTGAGAAGTGTCTGTTCATATCCTTCGCCCACTTGTTGATGGGGTTGTTTGATTTTTTTGTTGTAAATTTGTTTAAGTTCTTTGTAGCTTCTGGATATTAGCCCTTTGCCAGATGGGTAGATTGCAAAATTTTTCCCCATTCTGTAGGTTGCCTGTTCACTGTGATGATAGTTTCTTTTGCTGTGCAGAAGCTCTTTAGTTTAATTAGATCCCATTTGTCTATTTTGGCTTTTGTTGCCATTGCTTTTGGTGTTTTAGTCATGAAGCATTTATCCATGCCTATGTCCTGAATGGTATTGCCTAGGTTTTCTTCTAGGGTTTTTATGGTTTTAGGTCTTATGTTTAAGTCTTTAATACATCTTGAGTTAATTTTTGTATAAAGTGTAAGGAAGGGATCCTGTTTCAGCTTTCTACATATGGCTAGCCAGTTTTCCCAGCACCATTTATTAAACAGGAAATCCTTTCCCCATGCTTGTTTTTATCAGGTTTGTCAAAGATCAGATGGTTGTAGATGTGTGGTGTTATTTCTGCGGCCTCTGTTCTGTTCCATTTGTCTATATATCTGTTTTGGTACCACTACCATGCTGTTTTGGTTACTGTAGTCTTGTACTATAGTTTGAAGTCAGGTAGCGTGCTGCCTCCAGCTTTGTTCTTTTTGCTTAGGATTGTCTTGGCAATGTGGGCTCTTTTTTTGTTCCATATGAACTTTAAAGTAGTTTTTTCCAATTCTGTGAAGAAAGTCATTGGTAGCTTGATGGGGATGGCATTGAATCTATAAATTACCTTGGGCAGTATGGCCATTTTCACGATATTGATTCTTCCTATCCATGAGCATAGAATGTTCTTCCGTTTGTTTGTCCTCTTTTATTTTGTTGAGCAGTGGTTTGTAGTTCTCCTTGAAGAGGTCCTTCACATCCCTTGTAAGTTGGATTCCTAGGTATTTTATTTTCTTTGTAGTAATTGTGAATGGGAGTCCATTCATGATTTGGCTCTCTGTTTGTCTGTTATTGGTATATAGGAATACTTGTGATTTTTGTGCAATGATTTTGTGTCCTGAGACTTTGCTGAAGTTGCTTATCAGCTTAAGGAGATTTTGGGCTGAGATGATGGTGTTTTCTAAATATACAGTCATGTCATCTGCAAACAGAGACAATTTGACTTCCTCTTTTCCTAATTGAATACCCTTTATTTCTTTCTCTTGCTTGATTGCCCTGGCCAGAACTTCCACCACTATGTTGACTAGGAGTGGTGAGAGAGGGCAACCTTGTCTTGTGCCAATTTTCAAAGGGAATGCTTCCAGTTTTTGCCCATTCAGTATGATATTGACTGTGGGTTTGTCATAAATAGCTCTTATTATTTTGAAATACGTCATCAATACATAGTTTATTGAGAGTTTTTAGCATGAAGGGTTGTTGAATTTTTGTCGAAGGCCTTTTCTACATCTATTGAGATAATCATGTGGTTTTTGTCGTTGGTTCTGTTTATGTGATGGATTACATTTATTGATTTGCATATGTTGAACCAGCCTTGAATCCCAGGGATGAAGCCGGCTTGATCATGGTGGATAAGCTTTTTGATGTGCTGCTGGATTTCGTTTGCCAGTATTTTATTGAGGATTTTTGCATTGATGTTCATCAGGGATATTGGCTTAAATTTTCTTTTTTTGTTGTGTCTCTGCCAGGCTTTGGTATCAGGATGATGCTGTTCTCATGAAATGAGTTAGGGAGGATTCTCTCTTTTTCTATTGATTGGAATAGTTTCCGAAGGAATGGTACCAACTCCTCTTTGTACCTCCAGTAGAATTTGGCTGTGAATCCGTCTGGTCCTGGACTTTTTTTGGTTGGTAGGCTATTAATTATTGCCTCAATTTCAGAGCCTGTTATTGGTCTATTCAGGGATTCAACTTCTTCCTGGTTTAGTCTTGGGAGGGTGTATGTGTCCAGGAATTTATTCATTTCTTCTAGATTTTCTAGTTTATTCGTGTAGAGGTGTTTATAGTATTCCTGATGGTAGTTTGTATTTCTGAGGGATTGGTGGTGATGTCCCCTTTATCATTTTTTATTGTGTCTATTTGATTCTTCTCTCTTTTCTTCTTTATTAGTCTTGCTAGCAGTCTATCAATTTTGTTGATCTTTTCAAAAAACCAGCTCCTAGATTCACTGATTTTTTGGAAGGGTTTTTTGTGTCTCTATCTCCATCAGTTCTGCTCTGATCTTAGTAATTTCTTGCCTTCTGCTAGCTTTTGAATGTGTTTGCTCTTGCTTCTCTAGTTCTTTTAATTGTGATGTTAGGGTGTTGATTTTAGATCTTTCCTGCTTTCTCTTGTGGGCATTTAGTGCTCTAAATTTCCCTCTACACACTGCTTTAAATGTGTCCCAGAGATTCTGGTATGTTGTGTCTTTGTTCTCATTGGTTTCAAACAACATCTTTATTTCTGCCTTCATTTCATTATTTACCCAGTAGTCATTCAGGAGCAGGTAGTTCAATTTCCATGTAGTTGTGCAGTTTTGAGTGAATCTTAATCCTGAGTTCTAATTTGATTGCACTGTGGTCTGACAGACAGTTTGTTGTGATTTCTGTTCTTTTATATTTGCTGAGGAGTGTTTTACTTCCAATTATGTGGTCAATTTTAGAATAAGCGCGATGTGGTGCTGAGAAGAATGTATATTCTGTTGATTTGGGGTGGAGAGTTCTGTAGATGTCTATTCGGTCCCCTTGGTCCAGAGCTGAGTTCAAGTCCTGGATATGCTTGTTAACCTTCTGTCTCATTGATCTGTCTAATATTGACAGTGGGGTATTAAAGTCTCCCATTATTACTGTGTGGGAGTCTAAATCTCTTTGTAGGTCTCTAAGGACTTGCTTTATGAATCTGGGTGCTCCTGTTTGGGGTGCATATGTATTTAGGATAGTTAGTTCTTCTTATTGAATTGATCCCTTTACCATTATGTAATGCCCTTCTTTCTCTCTTTTGATCTTTGTTGGTTTGAAATCTTTTTTTTTTTTTTTAGTCAGAAACGAGGATTGCAACCCCTGATTTTTTTTTTGCTTTCCATTTGCTCGGTAGATCTTCCTCCATCCCTTTATTTTGAGCCTATTTGTATCTTTGCACATGAAATGGGTCTCCTGAATACAGTACAACGATGGGTCTTGACTTTTTATCCAATTTGTCAGTCTGTTTTTCAGTTGGGGCATTTAGCCTATTTACATTTAAGATTAATATTGTTATGGGTGAATTTGATCCTGTCACTATGATGTTAGCTGGTTATTTTGCCCATTAATTGATGCAGTTTCTTCATAGTGTCAATGGTCTTTACACTTTGGCATGTTTTTGCAGTGGCAGTGGCTGATACCAGTTGTTCCTTTCCATGGTTAGTGCTTCCTTCAGGAGCTCTTGTAAAGCAGGCCTGGTGGTGACAAAATCTCTCAACATTTGCTTGTCTGTAAAGGATTTTATTTCTCCTTCACTTATGAAGCTTAGTTTGGCTGGATATGAAATTCTGGTTTGAAAATTCTTTTCTTAAAAATGTTGAATATTGGCCCCCACTCTCTTCTGGCTTGTAAGGTTTCTGCTGAGAGATCTGCTGTTAGTCTGATGGGCTCCCCTTTGTGGGTGACCCGACCTTTCTCTCTGGCTGCCCTTAACATTTTTTCCTTCATTTCATCCTTGGTGAATCTGACAATTGTGTGTCTTGGAGTTGCTCTTCTTAAGAAGTATCTTTGTGGTGTTCTTTGTATTTCCTAAATTTGAATGTTTTCCTGCCTTGCTAGGTTAGGGAAGTTCTCCTGGATAACATCCTGAAGAGTATTTTGTAACTTGGTTCCATTCTCCCCGTCACTTTCAGGTACACCAGTCAAATGTAGATTTGGTCTTTTCACATAGTCCCATATTTCTTGGAGGCTTTGTTCATTTCTTTTCATTCTTTTTTCTCTAATCTTGTCTTCTTGCTCTATTTCATTGAGTTGATCTTCAATCACTGATACCCTTTCTTCCACTTGATTGAATCAGCTACTGAAGCTTGTGCATGAGTCATGTAGTTCTCGTGCCATGGGTTTCAGCTCCATCAGGTCATTTAAGGTCTTCTCTATACCGTTTATTCTAGTTAGCCATTTGTCTAACCTTTTTTCAAGGTTTTCAGCTTCCTTGCGATGGGTTTGAACATCCTCCTTTAGCTCGGAGAAGTTTGTTACCAACCTTCTGAAGCCTACTTCTGTCAACTTGTCAAACTCATTCTCCATCCAGTTTTGTTCCCTTGCTGGTGAGGAGCTGTGATCCTTTGGAGGAGAAGAGGCAATCTGGTTTTTGGAATTTTCAGCTTTTCTGCTCTGGTTTCTTCCCATCTTTGTGGTTTTTTCTACCTTTGGTCTTTGATGTTGGTGACCTACAGATGGGGTTTTGGTGTGGATGTCCTTTTTGTTGGTGTTGATGCTATTCCTTTCTGTTTGTTAGTTTTCCTTCTAACAGTCAGGACCCTCAGCTGCAGGTCTGTTGGAATTTGCTGGAGGTCCACTCCAGACCCTGTTTGCCTGGATATCACTAGCGGAGGCTGCAGAACAGCAAATATTGCTGCCTGATCCTTCCTCTGGAAGCTTTGTTCCAGAGGTGCACCTGCCTGTGTGAGGTGTCTGTTGGCCCCTACTGGGAGGTGTCTCCCAGTCAGGGTACACGGGGGTCAAGGACCGACTTGAGGAGGCAGTCTGTCCATTTTCGGAGCTCAAATGCCATGCTGGGAGAACCACTGCTCTCTTCAGAACTGTCAGACAGGGGCGTTTAGGTCTGCCAAAGCTGTCTGCTGCCTTTTGTTCTGACATGCCCTGCCCACAGAGGTGGAATCTAGAGAGGCAGTAGGCCTTGCTGAGCTGCAGTGGGCTCCACCCAGTTCAAGCTTCCCGGCCTGTTTACACTGTGAGCATAAAACTGCCTACTCAAGCCTCAGGAATGGCGGACGCCCTCCCACCCCCCCAACAAGCTGCAGCATGCCAGGCCAATCTTAAGACTGCTGCACTGGCAGTAAGCAAGGATCCATGGGCATGAGCCCCACCGAGCCAGGCACGGGAGGGAATCTCCTGGTCTGTCAGTTGTGAAGACCATGGGAAAAGCCCAGTATTTGGGCAGGAGTGTACTGTTCCTCCAGGTACAGTCTGTCACGGCTTCCCTTGGCTAGGAAAGGGAAATCCCCTGACCCCTTGCACTTCCCAGGTGAGGCGATGCCCTGCCCTGCTTTGGCTCGCCCTCCATGGGCTGCACCCACTGTCCAACTAGTCCCAATGAGATGAACCAGGTACCTCAGCTGGAAATGCAGAAATCACCCATCTTCTGTGTTGGTCTTGCTGAGAGCTGCAGACCGGAGCTGTTCCTATTCCAGCAAGATGCTTTTAAAACCTTAGAGATGATGGATCCCAGACACCAAGCTTCTGGCTGTGGCTTGGCCTTTCTAAGTATTCAACAAGTCTGTCTTTTCCAAGTGTCTTTAAAGACCAGAAATACCTGTTTTTAACACACAGGGTTGCAAAATTCAGAGGAGATTGGCGAGCATCCCTCTTGTCTGCCCCACATGTGTTTCTTTGCCAGAGGCCACCGTGGCGAGCAGGGGCCTGTGACTGCCCCAACCAAAATTTTGGAAAGTCATTCTGGCGCTACCAGATGCCCCGAGGTTCCCAGGTTGGAGTCTTTCTCTCCCACTGGGTTTCTCCTGCAACTCTTCCCAGCCCACTGGCCCCACTGCCAGAGCACACAGGAGTCCGGACACACACCGCGGGACAGCCTGACTCGCTACTGCTCTCTGCACGTGCTATATGAGAGGGTTCTTTTGAGAACAGAAAATGCAGTGACTGAGCAGGAAAGGGTGAAGGAGGAAAACCAGAGGTCGCATGCAGCCAACCAGGCATTACAAAAATGCCTTCTGGAAAAGTGCACTTGGAGTTGGTTTCCAGAGAAAATGAAAAGTCCCTCCAGAGAAATGTAAAGGCCAGAGAAACGAAGACTCAGAGAATGAAAAGGCCAACCCTGCTCATCCAGTAGCCCAGGGCTAGCCCAGACAGACCCATTCTCTTGTTGGGCTTATGACTCTGGGTGAGTCTTGGTTTCTTTCTCACCCCAAAGCCAATGTTAAACCTACAAATGAAAAAGAACACTTAAAAGGATGATCTGGGCCAGGTTCAGTGGCTCACGCCTGTTATCCCAGCACTTTGGGAGGCTGAAGCGGGTGGATCTCTGGAGGTCAGGAGTTTGAGACCAGCCTGGCCAACCTGACAAAACTCTGTCTCTACTAAAAATACAAAAGTTAGCCAGGAGTGGTGGCGGGTACCTGTAATCCCAGCTACTTGGGAGGCTGAGGCTGGAGAATCACTTGAACCCAGCAGGCAGAGGTTGTAGTGAGCTGAGATCTGCCACTGCACTCCAGCCTGGGCAACAAGGGTGAAACTCTGTCTCGAAAAAAAAAAAAAAGGATGATCAGCAACTTGGCAAATCGTAGCCATGTTTGTTAAGTGGAGGAAAAGTATTAAACATATTATGAAAACAGAAATGGTAGTCATGTCAAACAAACAAACATTACATATGTAGGGAAAAAGATTGGCAACAAATACACAAAAAATAAAGTTCTGTTTTGATATTCTGAATTTGAGTGGTTCCCCACACCCTCTACAATTTCCAAGTTTTATGAAACATGTTGTCTCCTTTAATTAAGGCAGCAGTAACCTCTACGCACGTGATCCCCACTGCACTCTAAAACTTCCAATTAGGCCGGGCGTGGTGGCTCATTCCTGTAATCCCAGCACTGTGGGAGGCCTAGGTGGAGAGGATCACTTGAGTCCAGGAGTTGGAGACCAGCCTGGGCAACATGCTGAAACCGTCTCTACAATAAATACAAAAATTAGTGGGGCATGGTGGCACACACCTGTAGTTCCAGCTACTTGGGAGACTGAGACGAGAGGATTGCTTGACTCTGGGAGATCCAGGTTGTAGTGAACCAAGATCATGCTGTGTCCGGAATTGTTGGGTTCTTAGTCTCGCTGACTTCAAGAATGAAGCCGTGTACCCTCGCGGTGAGTGTTACAGTTCTTAAAGATGGTGTGTCCAGAGTTTGTTCCTTCAGATGTTCAGATGTGTCCAGAGTTTCTTCCTTCTGGTGGGTTCATGGTCTCACTGACTTCAGGAGTGAAGCTGCAGACTTCCGCGGTGAGTGTTATAGCCCTTAAAGGTGGCATATCTGGAGTTGTTCGTTCCTTCTGGTGGGTTCGTGGTCTTGCTGGCCTCAGGAGTGAAGCTGCAGACCTTCGCAGTGAGTGCTACAGTTCATAAAGGTGGTGCACCCGAAGTTGTTTGTTCCTCCCGTCTGGAGTTGTTTATCCCTCCCAGTGGGTTTGTGGTCTCGCTGGCTTAAGGAGTGAAGCTGCAGACCTTCACAGTGAGTGTTAACAGTTCATAAAAGCAGCGTAGACGCAAAGAGTGAGGAGCACTAAGATTTACTGCAAAAAGCAAAAGAACAAAGCAGCTTTTACAGTGTGGAAGAGGACCCGAGCATGTTGCCGCCGCTGGCTTGGGTGGCCTGCTTTTATTCCCCCATCCGGCCCCACCCACATCCTGCTGATTGTTCTATTTTACAGAGAGCTGATTGGTCCATTTTACGGAGAGCTGATTGGTTCATTTTACAGAAAGCTGATTGGTCCGTTTTGACAGAGTGCTTATTGGTGTGTTTACAATCCTTTAGCTAGACACAGAGTGCTGATTGGTGAGTTTACAATCCTTTAGCTAGACACAAAAGTTCTCTAAATCCCCACCAGATTAGCTAGACACAGAGTGGTGATTGGTGCATTTACAAACTTTTAGCTAGACACAGAGTGCTGATTGGTGCGTTTACAATCCTTTACCTAGACACAGAGTGCTGATTGGTGCGTTTACAATCCTTTAGCTAGACACAGAGTGCTGATTGGTGCATTTACAATCCTTTAGCTAGACACAAAAGTTCTCCAAGTCCCCACCCGACCCAGAAGCCCAGCTGGCTTCACCTCTCAATGGCACTCCTGGGACTTTGCCGCGCCTAGTGGGGCACTCCGGCAGCCCAGAGGGCGCTCCTCCCCCACCCCCCCATCAAGCCCAGCAGGCGACGCCAACCTTGCCCCCAGTGCAGGGCCTGCCTAGCCCGCACCCACCCGGAACACCACTGGCCCGGGAGCACCACGCGCAGCCCCTGTTCCCACTGGCGTCTCTCCCTCCACACCTCCCCCCAAGCAGAGGGAGACGGCTCCGGCCTCAGCCAGCCCCAGAGAGGGGCCCCCACAGCACAGCAGTGGGCTGAAGGGCTCCTCGAGCCCGGCCAGAGCAGACACCGAGGCCGAGGAGGCGCCAAGAGCAAGCAAGGGCTGCTAGCAGGTTGTCACCTCTCAATGCCACTGCACTCTAGCCTGAGTAACAGAGCAGATCTGGTGTCAAAAAATAAAATAAAAAATAAAGAAAGAGACCAGGCACGGTGGCTCACGCCTGTAATCCCAGCACTTTGGGAGGCTGAGGTGGGCAGATCACGAGCTCAGGAGTTTGAGACCACCCTGGCCAACATGGCAAAACCTTGTCTCTACTAAAAGTACAAAAATTAGCTGGGCATGGTGGTGGGTGCTTGTATTCCCAGCTACTCAGGAGGCTGAGGCAGGAGAATCACTTGCATCTGGGAGGCAGAGGTTGCAGTGAACCCAGATCGCGCCACTGCACTCTAGCCTGGGCAACAAGAGTGCAACTTCGTCTCAAAAAAATAAATAAAGAAAAATAAAATGAAACCTCCAATTAAAAGGAGAAATTCAACCAGGTGCAGTGGCTCACGCCTGTATCCCAACACTTTGGGAGGCCAAGGTGGGTGGATCGCTTGAGGTCAGGAGTTCGAGACCAGCCTGACCAACATGGTGAAACCCCATCTCTACTAAAAATACAAAAAATTAGCTGGATGTGGTGGTGCACACCTGTAGTCCCAGCTACTCGGGAGTCTGAGGCAGGAGAATTGCTTAAACTTGGGGCGTGGAGGTAGCAGTGAGCCGAGATCACGCCATTGCATTCCAGCTTGGGTGACAGAGCGAGACTCAGTCACAAATAAATAAATAAATAAATAGGCCAGGTGCGGTGGCTCACGCCTGTAATTCCAGCACTTTGGGAGGCCGAGGTGGGCGGATCACCTGAGGTCAGGAGTTCGAGACCAGCCTGCCCAACATGGTGAAACCCCATGTCTACTAAAAATACACACACAGACACAAAATAGCCAAAATTAGCCAAAAAATTATAAATAAATAAAATAAAAAGATAAGTTGCACACTCAGGAGGCTGAGGCAGGAGACTCGCTTGAACCCAGGAGGTGGAGGCTGCAGTGAGCCGAGACCACGCCATTGCACTCCAGTCTGGGCGACAAAGCAAGACTCTGTCTCAAAAAAAAAAAAAAAAAGACAAATTCAGCAGAAGCATTGCTTGAGTAACACGGAAACTCAGAACCAGGAAACTGAAGGCGGTTACTCCACATACATCTGGGGCAATAAGTGAGCTGTTCCAGCGCGGCTTACGCTGTGGGCGGAGGCGGGCAGGAAATTCACTTACAAGTCTGTGCCAGGAAACAGGAAGAAGGTGCCTCCTGTGATACAAGATACAGACGTAGTCTCCTATCCAGGAAACAGGGACAGAGCCGCAGACCAGATAAAGATACGACCAACATTTTTCATTAAATATTCTCAACGGATTATTTACATTTTTTCTAGAAAAGTAAAATTTAAACCTGAATACATTTGATAACTATGGAATGTGAGCATTCACGTATGCTTGTGACCTGGTTCCTCTACGCTTCAGGGGTCGCCCTGGTCCCAAAGCGCTTCCTGCCGCTCCCACTTCCTCTGTTTTCACCGGAGGGGCAGCCACAGTTCTCGGCTGAGAGAAACTCGGTCGTTCTGTTTACGTCGTGAATGATTGGCTACAGATCCCAGAGAGGAAATAGGGACCCACCCCTCAGTTGTTATGCAATCTGGGGCGGAGTCCGGGGTCCATAGCCTTTCTGAGGGTAACCTGAGCGGGAGAAGTTGTTGCGCCTGATCTCAAACAGCCTTTCGCACGGAAAAGGATTCCTAAAAGTGGGGTTACTCCTCCACAGCAATAGCGTCCTTAAAATAGGGGCTCCCGGCTGGGCGCGGTGGCTCACCCCTGTAATCCCAGCACTTGAGAGGCCAAGACAGGCGGATCACCTGAGGTTGGGAGTTCGAGACCAGCCTGAACAACATGGAGAAACCCCCTCTCTACTAAAAATACAAAATTAGCTGGGTGTGGTGGCGCATGCCTGTAATACAAGCTACTCGGGAGGCTGAGGCAGGAGAATCGCTTGAACCTGGGAGGCGGAAGTTGCGGTGAGCCGAGATGGCGCCATTGCACTATAGCCTGGGCAGCGGCAAGAGCGAAACTCCGTCTCAAAAAAAAAAAAAAAAAAAAAAAAACTATATATCTATCTATCATCTATCTATCTATCTATCTATCTATCTATCTATCTAGGCTGCCGGTGAGGACGTGAGGCACGTGCCACTGAGCCACTGAGAATTTACCCCCCTGGGCAAGTCTGTGAGGCCAGGGCCCCTAGGGAAAAAAGCCTTTCCCAGATTTTAGGGCTCATATGCCTGCAGTGGGTTGGTAGGGATCGGGGAAGATGATGAGGTTGGGATAAGGAAGTGGTACCAATAGAAAGACTAAGCAAACCAAACCAAATCAAACTTTCCCCTTTCCATCCCTGTCCTCCTCTTTGCAATCCCATTTGGGTGGCTGAAGGCAGACCCTGACCAGAGCCATCCTTGCCGGCTTCTTTTGTCTTGCTCTGTGGGGAAACGAGTGAAGAAAAAAGCAGAAGGAAAGGCAAGTGAAATGGAGCCCTCTGTGAAGAACTACGACTAGGGTCACACAGAGCAAAATTCCTAGCCTTCCTTTGAGGAGTAGCCGTATTTCCATTTAAAAAAGACCCACTTTATGCAAGATTCAGGGCTGGGAATTGGTCCTTCCTGCCTCAAGAATTTCAAAGACTTCTAGAGGAGAGTGTCCAAAGACAGACAAGAAAGTGGCCAGTGCCCTGAAGAAAGTCAGGGGGTCCAGGGGAGTGTGAACCCTGAATATCTGAGACAGGTCTCAGTTAATTTAGAAAGTTTATGTTGTCAGGGTTGAGGATGTGTGTCGGTGACACAGCCTTAGGAAGTCCTGATGACATGTGCCCAAGTTGTCAGGGCACAGCTTGGTTTTATACATTTTAGGGAGACATGAGACATCAATCAACATATGTAAGATTAACATTGGTTCGGTCTGGAAAGGCGGGACAACTTGAAGCAATGGTGGGACAACTCCAAGTGGCGAGGGGGCTTCCAGGTCATAGGTAGATAAGAGACAAATGGTTACTTTCTTTTGAGTTTCTTTTTTTTTGAGATGGAGGCTCGCTCCTGTTGCACAGGCTGGAGTGCAGTGGTGCGATCTTGGCTTGTTGTAACCTCCACCTCCCAGGTTCAAGCGATTCTCATTCCTCAGCCTCCCGAATAGCTGGGATTACAGGCATGTGCCACCACGCTGAGCTAATTTTTGTATTTTTAGTAGAGACGGGGTTTCACCATGTTGGCCAGGCTGGTCTCGAACTCCTGGCCTCGGGTGATCCACCCGCCTCGGCCTCCCAAAGTGCTAGGATTACAGGTGTGAGCCACTGTGCCCGGCCTCTTTTGAGTTTCTGATTAGCCTCTCCAAAGGAGGCAATCAGATAGCATTTATCTCAGTAAGCAGAGGAGTGACCGAATAGAATGAGACGTAGGTTTGCTCTCAGCAGTTCCCAACTTGACTTTTCCCTTTAGCTTAGTGATTTTCGGGCCCCAAGATTTATTTTCCTTTCACAGGTATCCCCTGTTCAGTTCAGACTGAACCTGAGGGGGTGTAGGGATGTACTCCAGGCTGGAGTGAAGTGGCATGATCTCGGCTCACTGCAACGTCTGCTTTCTAGGCTCAAGAGATCCTCCCAACTCAGCCTCCTGAGTAACTGGGATTTCAGGTGAGCACAACCATGCCCAGCTAATTTTTGTATTTTTAGTAGAGACGGGGTTTTGCCCTGTTTCCCAGGCTGGTCTGGAACTCCTGAACTCAGGTGATCCACCCACCTCGGCCTCCCAAAGTGCTGGGAATACAGGCGTCAGCCACTGTGCCCAGCCAAATTCTACGTCTTTTAAAAAATTAAGAGAAGAAATTAGTAAAATACACTTAAAGTTTTTCGTATGAAACTTATTTAGTGTTTCTGATGATTTGTTCTTGTGGATTGGACTTACAATCTGATGTGGTTCCTTTGTTTCAATGTAACTCCATCTTTTCCCTATCCTTTGTACCATTATTGTCATATGTGTGTGAGTGCATATATACACACACATTATCTTTAGATGTTACAAACCCAACACTGTAATTTTATAATTGTTGTTTTATGTAATTTCTTTTAAAACAGTTAAGAAATGAAAAGGAGCCAGGCATGGCGGTGTGCATCTGTAGTCCCAGCTACTCAGGAGGAGGCTGAGGTGAGGGGATCACTTGAGTCCAGGATTTGAGGCTGCAGTGAGCGATGGTCAAACCACTGCACTCCATCCTGGGTGAGAGAGTGAGACCTTGTCTCTCAAAAAAGAAAAAGAAAAAAAAGAGATTTGTAGTTTTTAGTTTTTAGTTTTTAAAAAATAATTACCAACATATTATTTTTTCTGATGCTGTTTGTTTCTTTTACAAATTTTACTTTTTTTAATGTAATATTTTTGAGATGGAGTCTTGCTCTGTTGCCCAGGCTGGACTACAGTGGTGTGATCTTGGCTCACTGCAGACTCCACCTGCTGGGTTCAAGTGATTCTTGTGCCTCAGCCTCCCAAGTAGCTGGGATTACAGGTGTGCGCCACTGTGCCTAGCTACAAGTTTTATCTTTAATTGACATACAATAATTGTTTTTCATTGGATTGGGATTATTATCTGGTGTCATTTCTTCTCAGTCTGAAGAACTTACTTTAGTATTACATTAGTGTTTCTTGTAAGACATATCTGCAAGAGATAAATCTCCCTAGTCTTTGTTTATCTAAGAATATGTTCATGTTGGCTTCTCTTTTTGTTTTCTTTAGAATAAATTTTGGTTTTGGAGACAGGGTCTCGCTCTGTTGCCCAGGCCGGAGTGTAGTGGCATGATCATGTCTCATTGCAACCTCAATCTCTCGGGCCTAAGAGAGCCTCCTGCCTCAGCCTCCTGAGTAGCTAGGACTACAGGTGTGCACTACCACACATGGCTAAATTTTTTTTTTTTTTTTTTTTGCAGAGACAGGGTCTTACTTTGTTGCCCAGGCTGGTCTTGAACTCCTGGGTTCAAGCGATCCTCCCACCTTGGCCTCCCAAAGTGCTGGGATTATGGGTGCAAACCACTGTCCCTGTACCGGTCTTCAGTTTTGAAGGATAATTTTTCTTGATGTAAAATTCTTGATTGCTAGCTTCTCCCCACTAACCCCCAAATTTGCATATGTTACTGTCTTCTTTAATTTTTTTTTTTTTTGAGACAGAGTCTTGCTCTGTTGCCCAGGCTGGAGTGCAGTGGCACAATCTTGGCTCACTGCAGCCTCCGCCTCCCGGGTTCAAGCAATTCTCCTGCCTCAGCCTCCCGAGTAGCTGGGATTACAGGCATGTACCACCACACCCAGCTAATTTTTATATTCTTAGTAGAGATGGGGTTTCACCATGTTGGCCAGGCTGGTCTTGAACTCTTGACCTCGTGATCTGCCTGCCTCAGCCTCCCAAAGTGCTGGGATTATAGACATGAGCCACGGCACCCAGCCCATGTTACAGCCTTCTAACCTCCATTGTTACTGATGAGGTTAGCTATTAAGATTATTGTGTCTGTGTGTATGAGTGTATTTGTATGAGATGAGTTTTTTCTCATTGCTTTTAAGATGTCATTTCTATTTTTGGCTGGTAATAGTTTCAGTATAATATATTAATGTTTAGGTGTGAATCAATTTTTTTTTTTTTTTTGAGACAGAGTCTCACTCCATTTCCAGGGCTGGAGTATAGTGGCATGATATTAGCTCATTGCAACCTCTGACTCCGTGGTTCAAGCAATTCTCCTGCCTCAGCCTCCCGAGTAGCTGGGATTACAGGTGTGCATCACCATGCCCAGCTAATTTTTGTATTTTTATTGAGACAGATTTCACCATGTTGGCCAGGCTGGTCTCGAACTCCTGACCTCAAATGATCCACACACCTCAGCCTCCCAAAGTGCAGGGATTACAGGCATGAGCCACCGTGCCTGGCCGACAATTTCTATTGACTGTTTCTCCCTGCAAATGGATTGCATTTTCCTATTTCTTTGCCCTTTTGTAACTTTTTTGGAAAACTGAAAATTTTAGACAATATATGCTAGCTCTGGATTCCAATTTCTTTCTCTTGGGGGTGAAGGTGGTTGTTGTTTTGTTTGTTTTTATAGTGACTTGCCTGTACTAATTCTGTGGAGTCCCTTTCCCTTGCAGTATGAGGGTTCAGATATTTTTATAGTGACTTGCCTGTACTAATTCAGTGGAGTCCTTTTCCCTTGCAGTATGCAGTATGAGGCTTCAGATATTTCTGCTCAGATATTTCTGCTCAGGTTCCTTTTTGTTTTTGAGACAGAGCTTCACTCTTGTTGCCCAGGCTAGAGTGCAACGGCGTGATCTCGGCTCACTGCAACCTCTGCCTCCTGGGTTCAAGCGATTCTCCTGCCTCAGCCTCCCGTCCTTTTTTAATTCTTATGTTTATTTTTAAGCCTGAATTCTTAGGGGTTGCCCCTGGATCAGCATAGCTTAATGGTCAGCCAGTGATCTGTTAGAGTTTGTGCTTAAATGCCTTAAGCCAGTAAGGCTTCTAACCCTGCTGTTGGAGCTGTGTGTGATTTGGAGGGTACTTTCAAAGTTCAGAGAGTTTACAAGTGAGCCATGGCTTTCTCTTTATTTCTGAGACCTCATATTTAGTTGCAGGGAGGAGTAGCTTCCTATAGCCTTCTCAAGTCTCTCTTCTAAGCAGTTATAACCCTGTGTGCTGCACATAGCTTTTTAAACTACCAAAGTTAAATGGTATTTTACTAAGGCATTCTTTGTCTGTTTTGTTCCTTTGATTTCCCTTTTAAATTTCTGGCTAGTCTGCTATTTTGCTGCTTCTCCCAACCATTGTCATGACGCAGGCTAGCCACACCGTTAGGCTTTGCTAATGAATTCTTCTGTGAAAAAGTACTGCCACATCTTCCCATTTATTTATTTAAGAATTTCTTTTATCAATATGGGCTAATGGATACTTATTTTATTCTATGGGTTATAATCCAATTCCATTATTACTTATTTTGTTGCTCAAATTGTTTCCATTTTAACTATTGGAATTATTTCCAGTTGGCTCCTGTGTCCCTTTGATATGGTTCTCACCTTTTAATCGAGCATGTAAATACTTTCTGACATCATAGGATGCCCCAGTCCTAGAATCGACCGTTTCTCCAAGGAGCCGGAATGCCGTTTTGTTTTCAATTTAAATTTTTTTTGTGTAGAGATAGTGTCTCACTATGTTGCCCAGGCTAGCCTCGAAATCCTGGCCTCAAGCGATCCTCCTGCCTCAGCCTCCCAAAGTGCTAGTATTACAGGCGTGAACCACCATATCTGGCCTGTCAGATTCTTTTAATTTTTGGTTTTTAACTTTTTATTATTGAAAACTTAAAATTTATAAAAAATTAGAAAGAATAGCAAAGTGTTTCCATCACTCAGCTTCAACAATCATCCCTCCCTTAGAGAATCCTAGTAATCTGAACAGGAATGTGGATCAGCAAGGCCTGTTTAGGTGACTAAAGCAGTGAAAATTATCTCCATCAATTGTGTGGGATGAATTTTCAACAGCAACACCTATAGCAGAGAAAAGCAACAGCTTCTTTTCTGTTCTTAGCACTGAAGGGGACTACGAGTGTACCCTTTGGCTGTGGGGTGCTTAGACATTTCACAGGAAGCCTCAAGAGGTATTAGAATGGATCACTGGAAAAATAAAGTTGTGAATATATTTGTATCTTGGGTTTTTAGTGGAAGCTCACATTAGTTACAGTTATGACAAAACCTATTCTCTGTACACCCAAGGGTCTTTTTTGGTCACAAGAGAATATTTTCAAGGGGAATTTAAAAACATAAGAAACCACGTTTACGCTGGGCACAGTGGCTCATGCCTGTAATCCCAGCACTTTGGGAATCTGAGGTGGGCAGACCACTTGAGCCCAGGAGTTTGAGACCAGCCTGGCCAACATGGTGAAACCTCGTCTCTACCAAAAATACAAATAATAATAATAATAATAATAATAATAAAAATAAAGCAGGGCATGGTGGCGTGCACCTGTAGTCCCAGCTACTGGGGAGGCTGAAGTGGGTGGGAGAATTGCTTTAACTGGGGAGGCAGAGGTTGCAGTGAGCTGAGATTGTGCCACTGCACTCCAGCCTGGGTGACAGAGTGAGAGCCTGTCTAAAAAACAAACAAACAAACAAAAAACCACGTTTAGTCTGAGGAACAGTACCTCGTGGTACATTGCCATAATTAGTTCCCAAGAGAAGATTGAGTGTCAGGCCCTGGAGAGGCCTGGAGCACTAATCAGGGAACCAAGGCTGGGGAGGGTGGGGGAAGGCCCAGCTAGATCTTTCGTTCCTGATCTTCTTTCTCATGATCCAAAGAGATGTACTTATTACTTTTTGTCATTATGTCTGTTAAGTATTTTTAAATTCACTGGTTCTCTCTCATTTTTTTTTTTAGCTTTAACTTCCGCTACAGTTTACCACAACTTCCTGGTTCCTCCCCTTTGTGGTCACAAAAACATTTCCTAGTTGAGATACATTTTCTTGACTTGAGTCTCCTTTCTCTGGTTCATTTGGTGCCTTTATCAACTCTATGCATAGTGAGGTTTTAAGTCTTTATAAAGATCATTGGCACATGAGGGGGTCTGCAGCCTACTGTCCTATTTACTCAGTTTGGTGTTATTCTACTATATTTGTGATGTCAGGAGCCACACTGTCTGGAAATGATGCTGGGAGGTCATTCTGGGTTGCCTGAAAAACAAACTCATTAGAACCTGGGGCTCCCTCTTCTTCCAGTGAGTGGGGTTTCCAAAAGTTAGAATCCAGTGGAACCAGGGGTGTTTTTCTCACTCCTGGCAGAGGGACGTGTGACTAGCCATGGGCCCCTAGGTCTCCAGTTCCTGGGTAGCTTGTATTTTTGAACATCTCCTGTATATTAGTTATCATTACAGCATAAAAATTGTCCTAAAATAAGTGGCTTAAAACAACACACCCTTATTATCTCACAATATTTGAAGGACAGCAATTCAATACAGCATAGCTGGGTCCTCTCTTCAGGGCCCCTCAAGGCTGCAATCATAGTTGGGGTCTTCCCTGAAGACTCAACTAGGAAAGGATGAGCTTCCAAGCTCACTAACTTAGTTGTTGGTAGGAAGCACGAAGGGTGGTAGGACTGAAGGTTTGGTTCCTCTTGAATGTTGAGTTGAGAGCACTCTCAGTTCCTCACCACATGGACCTCCTTAACATGGCAGCTTGATTACTTGAGTCAGTAAATGAGTCTGCTAGCAAGATAAAAGCCACAAACTCTTATTGTCTACTCATGGATATGATAGACTTTCACCTTTGTCATATTCCATTGGTTAGAATTAAGTGACAAGGTCCATACCAAACTCAAGGTGGGAAGGATTCCACAAAGACTCGAATACTAAGATGGGGGATCATTAGAGACCATCTTAGAAGTCAGGTTAGCACAACCTGTCAATAACTGACACTCTAATCAAGAGTGCTAGGTGCCTACGCTGTTTGTGTGCCTCTTCATTGATAAGGCTGCTCTCATGCTTGACTCATAATGGAGAGCAATAACACACTGCCGCATCCCTCCCCTCCACCTGCATGTCCAGTAGTGTGCCTGGTTTGCTCTTCTATGGAAAAATAAAAGGAATTGGACTCATGCTTTCTCTTTACTTGCTGACACTGAATTGAAAATTCCCTCAAAAGCCTATTTCTTAACCCATAGCATGCGATATTCTGGCTTTTATCCTGAGCCCTGGTGAACAACAGGTGGTGACCCCAAGGGACCTGCTTTGCATGACAGCCTCACACCTGGTTTTCCTCTCAGTCCTCTCCCAGTCTCTCCTCTTTGCCTCATAAGTTTAGTTACACCCCGAACACTGTCTTTTGGCTATTTTGTGGATCCTGTTTGCAGCTTGAGGCACAGGTTATTCCTGCCCTTTGCCCACCATCTGCTCCTGGGACCCCAGCCTGAGTGGAAGAGGTCTTGGAGTGTGGCTTGGACATTATTAATCAGGTTTTCTCCACACCAGCACACATACACACCCATGTGCACACAAACACACAGGCACACCCCCCACACACATGCATGTGCGTGCACACACACACACATGCATGTCGACACACACACACACTTTGTTGTGGAATCTGGTGCCTGTGGTCTTATGTATTTTCGCAGGAATTTGTGCTTAATGGATATCCCGAGCAGTCTTCATTGGTTACCCACGCCCACTGTTATGCTTTATGAACAAACTCATGCATTCTTTCCTAAATAGACTGCATATTTCCTTTTCTTTTCTTTTCTTTCTTTCTTTTTTTTTGAGACGGAGTCTTGCTCTGTTGCCCAGGCTGGAGTGCAATGGGGGGATCTTGGCTCACTACAACCTCCGCCTCCTGGCTTCAAGCGATTCTCCTGCCTCATCCTCCCAAGTAGTTGGAATTACTGACGCCCTCTACCACGCCCGGCAAGTTTTGTATTTTTAGTAGAGACAGGGTTTCACTATGTTGGCCAGGCTGGTCTCAAACTCCTGACCTCAAGTGATCCACCTGCCTCAGCCTCCCAAAGTGTTGGGATTACAGGCATAAGCCATGGCGCCTGGCCATTTTTTTTTTTTTAAGAGACAGGGTCTCATCTCACTCTGTCACCCAGGCTAGAGTACAGTGGCATGATCACAGCTCTACTCTACTAAAAATACAAAAATTAGGCCGGGCGCAGTGGCTCACACCTGTAATCCCAGCACTTTGGGAGGCCGAGGTGGGTGGATCACCTGAGGTCGGGAGTTCAAGACCGGACTGACCAACATGGAGAAACCCTGCCTTGGCCGGGCACGGTGGCTCACGCCTGTAATCCCAGCCCTTTGGGAGGCCAAGGTGGGCTGATCACCTGAGGTCAGGAGTTTGAGACCAGCCTGGCC
>NT_167244.2:1649073-1786680 GCF_000001405.40 Homo sapiens | reverse complement strand
GGCCAACATGGTGAAACCTCGTCTCTACTAAAAATACAAAAAATTAGCTGGGCATGGTGGTGGGCACCTGTAATCCCAGCTACTCGGGAGGCTGAGGCAGGATAATTGCTTGAACCCAGGAGGTGGAGGTTTCAGTGAGTCGAGACTGCACCACTGCACTCCAGCCTGGTGACAGAGTGAGACTTCATCTCAAAAAGAAAAAATTTTAAAAAAAGTTTTTAAGCAGTTTTCTTAGTAGGGTCCTCAAGGGGACAGGCAGGTGATTTATCAAATGGACAAGATCAGAACTGCACATAGTTTCCCTAAATTGCTGGCTCTTTTACCAAGTTCAGCATGTTTTGAAGAAAAGCTATTCACAAACTTGGAATTAAAGTCTACTCAAGTAGATTTAACATCCATAGGTAATGCAGAAATTTCTTTCTTTTTTCTTTTCTTTTCTTTTCTTTTTTTTTTTTTTTAAGATGGATTCTCACTCTGTCGGCAGGCTGTAGTGCAGTGGCTGGATCTGGGCTCACTGCAAGCTCCGCCTCCCGGATTCACACCATTCTTCTGCCTCAGCCTCCCAGAGTAGCTGGGACTACAGGCACCTGCCACCATGCCCAGCTAATTTTTTTGTGTTTTTAGTAGAGACGAGGTTTCACCGTGCAAGCCAGGATGGTCTTAATCTCCTGACCTCGTGATCTGCCCGCCTCGACTTCCCAAAGTGCTGGGATTACCGGCGTGAGCCACCGCGCCCAGCCTACTTTAGTTTTAAGAAAGACAAGTTTGGGGAACTCAAAAGACCCCAAGGATGGCCATTGAAGATCCAAATTAACTTTGCTATACTCTATCCATTGATTTTAAAAAGTACACAAGAGACGACCTTAATTTTTTTCTTTTCTTATTTATTTTTATTTTTTTTTGACATGAAGTTTCCCTCTTTTCTCCCACGCTGGAGTGCAATGGCATGATCTCGGCTCACTGCAACCTCTGCCTCCCGAGTTCAAGCTGTACTCCTGCCGCAGCCTCCCGAGTAGCTGGGATTACAGGTATGCGCAACCACATCTGGCTGAATTTGTATTTTTATTAGACACGGGGTTTCTCCATGTTGGTCAGGTTGGCCTCCAACTCCCAAATTCAGGCGATCCGCTTGCCTGGGCCTCCCAAAATGCTGGGATTACAGGCGTGAGGCACCACGACCGGCCTTAATTTTTTAAAATAGAGATGAACTCTTGCTATGTTGCCCAGGATGGTTTCAAACTCATGAGCTTAAGCAATCTTTCCACCTCGGCCTCCCAAGGTGCTGGGATTACAGGCATGAGCCACTGACAATAATTTTTGAACATATAGCTGACAGGAGTCCCAGAAGAGGGCCTATATTGGATGCTTTGGAGTTTTGGCATCCTGTTCTGCCTCTTATTAATTTCTCAACAGCAAAAGAAAAATTCTATAATCTCTGTGAGGAAATGGTAGGGGTTGGAGCGATTTGTTTTTTAATAGTGTGTGCCTAGCATAGGATTTTTGTTTTTACTTGATGTGCAGGCAGCCTGTGATCTAATTGTCTATCCTGTCACCATTTTCTCCAGAATTTTCTTGAGACTGGCACGCTGCCTAATGGAAATCTTGTTTATTCATGTACCACTTTATCCTGACAACAAAAAATTTCTCTTTGGGGAGACTGAAGGCTCACATAGAATGGTGACAACAGCCCAAACAGCTTTTAAGGAGTTGACTCATCCTTACCATTTTAGAAAGTAAATTTTGCTCTCAAAAGATATTCAGAAGCAGAGGAAAAATCAAGCAACAAACTCAGTATAAGTCTCTTCCAAAGATAATCTTTCTTCAGGATCATTTCTGACACTAGATTATTCAACCTAAAAAACATGACATTAGAAATGTCCAAATATGTTGAGTTTATTTGGGAATGAGAATGAGGATTGTAACCTAGGGTGCACTGATGGATTGCCATTCTGGAAATATTAGCTTAGCCAGATGTAGTGGGTTGAATGGTGGACCCCATAAAGATATGTTTCTGTCTTAGTGCCCAGCAGCTGTGAATGTCAAGTTGTTTGGAAAAAAAGGGTCTTTGCAGATGTAATTAAGCGGAGGATACTGAAATGAGGAGATCCTCCTAGATGACCCAGGTGGGCTCTAGATCCAATGACAAGTGTCTTTCTAACAGGTACACAGAAGAGAGAGTCAGAAGAGGAGAAGGTGATGTGAAGAATGAGGCAGAGACTAGAGCAATGGGGCTACAAGCCAAAGAACGCTGACCAATGCCCTGCAGCTGCCAGAGCTGGAGGACTCAAGGAATGGATTTGCTCTTAGAGCTTTCAGAGGGAGTGAGGCCCTGCATATTGATTTTGCAGTTTGGGCCTCCAGAACTGTGAAAGAATAATTTTCTGTTGTTGTAAGTTGCCAACTTTGAGGGCATTTGTTGTGGCAGCTACAGGAAGCTAATATACCAGGTGATCAACTTCAACATCAACAGTGGTACATGAAATTGATATTCTATAACCTTGATAAGGTGTTTGGAGAATAGCACTTCACCTCATCTAAACACCCATAACCATAGTCTAACCATGATCTACACCCCAACTAAATTCAGTTTGAGGGACATTTTACAATATATCTGGTCAGTACTTCCCAATATTGTGAAGGGCATCAAAAATTAGGAAAATCTCAGGAACTGTCACAGACCAGAGGATGCCGCGGAGGCACGACGGAGACTAAATGTAGTGTGATATTCTCCATGGAATCCTGAAACACAGAAAGGACATTAGGGGAACGCTAATGAACTCCAAATAAAGTCTGCAGTTTAGTAATAATAAGGTATGAAAATGGCTTCATTAGCTGTGACAAATGGACCATAGTAATGAGAGATGTTAACATCAGGGGAAACTGACTGTGGAGCGGATGGCAACTCTGTACTACCATTGCAACTTTTATGTAAATTTAAAACTCTTCTAAAATAAAATTATTTAAAAGTAGCAGTCAGGAAAGGATTAAGGAGTGGAAGAAAAAAATGATCAACTTTCCATTTTCCTGGAGTGTTGCCATGAAAAGGCTGGAGGGAGGGTTTGCAAGGAGGAGTTGGAAACCTCAGAGACAGGCCGCTCCAGAGCCCTCCTCTGTTCCGCAGAGCCGGAACCCCGCGCAGTCCAGGGCTTCTCAGAAGGCCTTTCCACTCCCTGGACAACCCCAGCCCCACCTCATTGATACATCCTTTCTGGATCAACAATCTGTGTCTTACTCAGACCACCGCCCCATCCTCTCCAGAGCGGCTCATCAGAATCCGAGCGCAGAGCGGCAGCGCCCCCGTGTGGCCCAAGGACTGAGGACAGACGCTCAGCTCCCCTTTCGCTTCCCCACCCGCGACTTCCACAGGGTCCCGTTCGGTTTCCAGCTGCAGAACAGGGCTCTGTGCACACGGGGGCGCCCTGCTCCCGTGTCGGTGTCTCTAAATCCTGGAGTACAGATGTTTCCTCCCAGTTACTGGCGGTGGAGTCTGATCTCAAGGCAGAGGGAGGTCTGCAGGCCCTAAGATCTGGTTCCCAGGTCTGCGTGACCCCACAGACATACTGTGCGCCCAGTACCCAATCTCTCAGTGTTTTTGGAATGAGGCCTTGGACTCCCGAGTCCCTGAAATTTGTTCTGCTGCTTCCAGGGAGGAAGATACCTCCTCGCCGGAATCCACTAGTTGATCCTCCAACCCTACTTTGGAGGGACCCAGGAAGGACATGGCGTTGGAGCTGGACCCAGGAAGAACATGGCGTCGGAGCTGTAACTATATTGGGTTACAAGGATGTCTGGGATCAGACTGGGCAGAGCATTTGTCCCCAATCCGTCGGTTACCGGAGGGAGGTCCCTCCGCGACTCCCCGGACCTCCAGGACCCAGGCATCGGAACCCACACCCTCCTGGAGCGGACCCTTCCCAGCCCCAGTCCAGGACCCCGAGTCCCGCCCCTTCTTCCCCTTTGCGACCTAAGCAGACAGGACCTGCTGTCTACATCTCTTAGGCCTCGTCCCCTGCCATCTCCATTCCCTGATTAAAGGTTCTTGATCCCGGAACCAAATCTAATTTCTGGTCTCGTCTATTGTCCGCGACGATCACCGACCAGGAGAGGCTCCCCAGCCCCAAACAGGCTGCGGCTGAGCGACAGCGGCGGATTTTGGCGCTTTGGTCCAGACTCTCTCGTCGAAGCACCCCGCGACCCCTGCCTGGAGGCTGCGCAGGCAGCTGGGGGTCGGGCTTCGTCTGGGGCCTCGCAGGAGGAGCGGGGTCTGCAGCAGGAGGGGGCCCGCTGGGATTTCTGCCACTGAGGCTGCACTCGCCGCCCTGGGTAAGGCTTCCCCCAGCCCTCCCCTGTGGACCTCGCTGTGGTTCCTTTCCTATTCCCTTTGGGCAGTGTGATATAGGTTTCCATGTGAGGGCCAGTACTCCTTGCCTGTCATCTCACTCTCCAGTTTGCTGCAAAGTGCAAGCGACCCCATACCCGCCTTTGCCCCACCCTTTGCCTCTCCTGGGGACATTCTTCCTGCTCAGTAGTGGGCCTTGTAAGGACCTGCAGGACAGTCTGAGAGGGAGCTACCCCAAAGGCCCAAGGAGTTCCCGGAGACCCTCTGCACTCACTCACCTCCCCACCAAGCGCCCCTGCATTCTTCCTGCACTGCGCTCCAGGTGTTGACAGCTCCTGGGCAGGGTAGCAGGTTCCAGGCAGCCCAGGCTGAGGTCCTCTGCTGGGGATTCACTGTTCCAAGAAGACAGGATTCTGACTTTATGGGGGAAGGGCTGGATAGGAACCAGGAGACCAGTTATAGGCCTGTTGCTATCAATCCTGGGACCAGTTAATTGATCTGTGTTCAGTACAGGATAGCAAAAATGGACTTGACCTTTTCTCATGTGAATATTTTCAGATACCCTCACTCCCAGCCTTCCTTCCCTGGGCACAGAAGAGACCTGCCTCAGGCGAAGTACCTCCGTGGAATTAAAAAGTCTCTTGGGCTCAGCTCTCCTCAGGGGCCTTCAGAACTCATCAAGGATAAAGCTGCAGACTTCTGGCGGTCACACAGGGACTAAAACCGATAAAATCCACAAGTCAACTGCGACTCAATCTTCCTTCCTCTTGCCGCAGTGTTCCTCACTTAGTCTTGGATGGAAGCTTCGGTCCTCTCCTGGGCCCCAACCTGCGGTCCCCAGGTTCCCCGTTTTTCACGTCTAATCTCAATTGACTCCCTCCTCCACACACCATTTTTGACCACCCAGTCCACAGAACGCCCCGGGCTTCCTAATGGGCCAGGTCCTCCTTAAGAGAGGCAGGGAGGTGGAGAGCGAGCATGGAAGCCGAGCGCCTGCTGGGCAAACCCGAATCTGGGGTCTGACCTCGCCGCCGGCAGCTGGTGAATATGTCGCAGGACCGGTGGTGGCTTGGCAGTCTTCTCCTGTCCTCTGCTCTTGGCCCCAGACCCGCGCTCACAGCCACCTCCTGAAGCCACCAGCTCTGCACCCTCTCGGCCTCGCAGGGGAAGAGGGGACTGGATGGAAGCCGCGGACTCTGGGCGCTGTCAAGGTCACTGTTGTGAAAAGCCGGGAGACCTGATGTGGACACAGGGAGGCCTGGACCGGAGGCGCGGCTGGCCAGAGGCTTCGCGTCTGCCCCTCTTCCTTCAGAGCCTCCTGCTCCCAGGGAAGCTCCGCGCGTGTCCTCAAAGCAGAGAGTGGTTTCCAAACGGACCCCCCAGCATCCGATTGGGCTATCCCGCCCCAGGCTGGAGGGTGGGGGCTCATGGGGTCTCTAGTCACCAAGTGCCCCACCTGAGAGGACCCGGTCTCTCCTCCAGGCTGCGCTGGGTCTCGAGGGAGGCGAGCAGCTCGGCTCTGAGGGGGGCCCCGGCCGGCGCTGCCCAACTCGGACAACCTTCCTGGCCCACCCAGGAGTTGAGTTTCAAGGCTTCCCGGAGAGGCCAGCCCGCATTCGGAGCGGAAGGTTTCTCAGGCCGCGAGCCTCGGAGAGAAGCAGCGCTGGTTCCCTGAGCCCGGGGCCACCGCTGGGCGGGAGCGCGCTTGGATCTTGCAGCAGCTAAAGCCTCGTGGGCTCCTCCTCGACTACAAGCCGCGGAAAACAAGTTGCAGCTCAGCACTATTTAAGTTGAGGTTTTTCTGTTATGCCTGCGGTTTGCTGTTTCAGCGCTTTGCTGTTTCAGCTTAGTGAAAGCTGAATGTACTTAGTACTTCAGCTTAGTTTTTCAGCTTAGTGTACTTAGAGAAGAGGCTTCTTCCTCTTTTGGGGGAATCAGTGGGTAGAGAGGAATTCCGTGGTTAGAGCCTACTTGGTCTTTAAGAGTCGACTATAATTTTGATTTTGATCCTCAACCACATCCGAGATCACAGTTCCCCGGTCAGTCTCAGCTCATCAGCAAAGGGTTTGGCGGCTCTCTCCAGAGGAGACTGAACGAGGTTGTCAAAGCGTCTGGATCAAAAGTGTTCCCCTGTCGGATGGAGCGGTGTCCAGGATGAACCTGAGCATTGTACCAGCATTTGGGGGTGTGGAGTTGGGAGGGAAAGCCAAGGCCCCACAGTGTGAGGAAGGAGACTGGGCAGAGCCCCTCAGTGTTTAGGAATCTCTAAATACTAAATACTACATCTCTAAATACTAAATACTGAGCTGGGATGGAATCTCTGTGCTGGAGGCTAGTGGTGCAAACTGCAGTTTCTCATCTGCAGGCACAGATGACTGACTGCCTTCAGCATGGGCTCATCTGTCCATCTCTCCTCCTGACCCCGGTCTCATTACAGGAGAGGGAACTGGGTGCTAGAGGGTGGGGAATCCAGGACGTCAGCGGTGTCGCACCTGGATAAAGCATTTTGCAAACACAAGTCCCAGGGCTGACTATTGATTTTACCACATGCAGCCTGTTTTTATTTATTAATTTCCTTTCTTTTCCCTTAAATTCCAATGACAAAGTATAACGTAAATCAACGTCCTTAAAATGTATGTAATCCTCTTCATTTAGTAACTATTCTGACCTCAAGTATCCATTCTCTAGTCAAGGATTATACCTGTTTCTCCTAGCCCCCACCAGTGCTGGGTCTGTTGTACCCCTCCCGCAGTATTGCCTCCCCCTAAATAAGCACATTTCCCTATAATTTCTTCCTTTTTCTCTATGCCTTCCCATCATGTTTGCACTTGCTGTGAAGTAAGGAAATGCTCCCCAATTCTGTTATTCCTTCCTACCCTTAGGAGATTTCTCCCTCTGCGCTGAGGATCTCACTGTGCACCTCCAGCCCTGGGTCCTGGTGGGCTCTGGTGGCCACTGGAGTCCTTGGAGCTGCCTCCCTCTGGCTCTGCTGGGTGAGTGCTCTTCTATCCTCTCTTTCTCCACTGATAAAAACAAATCCGAGAACATGTTCAGAATAACACTTCCAGAAAGGATGGTGTTGAGGGGGATCGGGAGTAGGGGAAGGAACTCCACTCCCTTGGATGAATTTGGAGACAGTTTGTTGCATTAATCTCTGGACAGGAAACAAGACAGAGCCTAGAGTAAACCAGGCTGCTCAGGTAAAAGGTCCGAAGGCCTCCTCTTCTCCCTGCCCACATTTCAGTAGACTCAGTGCCAAGGGCTTGTCCTGGGGGCAGGTGGCCTCAGCCACAGTAAGTCCCTGAGATCCTGGACCACTGCGTGGAACCCTGTTCTCTACATGAGGCAGGCTCCAGGTGCTACCTGCTTCCCTTTCATTTCCCCTGTTACAAAACATGGTCTCCCCTCTACTCCCTCTCAATCCTTCCTAGCCACCAGCTTCCTGGCAAACAACCACATAGAAGCCTTTTACTTCATATGTTGTTCTTTATCTTTATGTCTCTTGATAATATACATTTATGCCACTTCAAACATTTCCATTTTAGATATTAAGTATTGACTTTTCAAAATCCCTTCAGTCCATAGTACCTTCCACAGCACACACATTTTCATCCTCCTCATGTAGGCAGGTGGAGATTTTGAGTGCATTGAGAGCCAGAGTTAAAATTACTGACTTACGTGAATGCTACTCAGACCTGAGCCACATGGTAAACTCTCTTAGTTTTTCTTTCCATACATGTTGATGTTTTCAGAGAATTGATAATTGCCCGGCGTTTTCATTTTCTTACTTTCCATGAACCTTAACAAATGAATTCACCAACTGTCCCTTAGTTGAGTAAATGTCTTCTCCATACCTTTAAACTTATGGTGGCTCTTGTCAAGGTCATCTTCTTGGAGATGGCGTCCCCTCTGCTGTGCTGTCCACCCACCCAGGCGACCCTCTTCCTTTCTGGTCCTGTTGCCTTTTCACCTTTTCACCTTTTCATGGGTTGATGCCTGATTCTATACATCCCACGTCTTGGTCTGTTTATTTTTGTTTTGTATTCTTTTCAATATATATTCCTTCCTTCTCTTCTTGGTATGTTCCCTCCTCTCCGAGTACATCCTTCACCTTTGCTATTGGGAGAAAATTTTTCATGCCTTGCAATGTCTGAATTTCTTCTTATTTTACAGGGTTGGATTCAGGAGTTGAGGTCATCCCCAGCAGGAGCAACTAGGGCCACTGGAGGATCCCCAAGGACACAGGTCACCCTTTTCATGCAGGAAGAATCTGAATGGTTCCCACCCAGTTTCCTGGGCAGGCAGGAGAATCCAACACGAGGGGCTGCTGTCTTCTCTGACTCTTAGGGCCCTTGCAAGATCCTGTTCTGGGTGATTTAGCTGAAGGGCAGGGTGATTTGGGCAAGCATCCTCAGGGCTCTGGGCCTCAGTTTCCTTCACTGGGTGATGGGTTGATCAGATAGATGGCCTTCCCCACATAGCTGAAAATCAGATGTGGTGAAAGTGCATTGAGACCGGAAACAATGTTATTGTTCTCAAATACATGCCCAGAGAGCACGAAATAAATTTTTATTCAGCTGGCATTTCTGTTCCTTTCTGAACTATGGGACTGATCAAAAGAGAGAGGTTAGGTGGGGTGAGTGTGGGTCCTGGCCAGGAGAATGGAGGAGGGAGGGAAAAGCTGTGAGAAGAAGTGGAAAGAGAGGTACAAAGAATGCAGGATGGTGTCACTTCAGGGAAGGGCCTGGGATTCCTAGTAAGTATGGAGGAGAGGTGGCACCTGGGATTACCTTTGGAAGCCCACATGTAGCTGATCCCACCGCTTGCTCCTCCTCCTGCCTGGAAGTCTATGCCAACGTGACTAGATGCACAGTAGAATGGAACTGGTGCTTGATTCTCAGACTGGCACCATCATCTACCCTCAAGAGTTTTTTTCATTCCCTTCCTCCCTGTTTCCCCACCCCAACTGCCAAACCCATTGCTCCATTCTTCCCATATAACTCTACCAGGTACCCACCTCTTGGGTTCTAGTCATGTCCGAAGAAGTCTTTTATTAATTTATTTCTTGTAGAGATAGGGTCTTGCATTGTTGTCCAGGCTGGTCTTGAACTCCCGGCCTCACCTCAGCCTACCATAGTGCTAATATTATAGGTGTGAGCCACTGCTCCCAGTCTGTGTCTGACAATGTCTTGAGTGACTAAAAGGCATTTTCTTTCACTTTGTAGTCTTGGGCTTCCTTCAGTCTGCCTCTCTCCTCTTTTCCTGTGACCCCAGGCAGGCTTTGTCATTCCCTTCCTCCTCTGGGGTGCCCTCTGGGCTTCAGAGCAGCCCTGGTGAGAATCTGCAGGGCAACCTGCACACTAGCTGGCTGGGCTTCTGAGCCCCTCCACACTCACTCATATGCCTCTCCCACCTCCCTCCAGTGGTGAGATCGGGAATACAACTCACTGAGTCTCCAAGTCCAATGGATTTTCTATCCCAGGGATGAGCATGTCCTAGTCATCTTCTGTGAAGTAGAGGGAGGCTTCTGTTCCCTTCTGGGCTTCAATTCTGCACTTCCAGAGTTCCCCATTCTTCACGTTTAGTCACTCTACCTCCCTACACATATTTTTGGAATCAACCAACCAGGCTAGATGGACCAGCCAGTCCCCAACGTGAGAGCTGGCAGGGAAGTTCTTAAATAACGGTTTAGTTTTCCTATAGTGTGACAAAACTGGCTCCAAATGCCAAATGAAACCCCTTTAGTGCATGCCCCGTGTGCTCAGAAATTTGCCTTATACTCCTTCACTCACACAGAAAAGCAAAGACAAAAATAAAATAACAAAATTCAATTTCCACAACTAAATTTCCCATGTATTATTTTTCCCAACAGAGTTCATCAACAAGCCTGTGATACCTTAGGATATACTGTGTTCTGTAAATCTAAAACACCACCTTACATTTGTAAGGCTAACATTTACAGAGCACTTGGTATGTCCAAGGCTCTAGTCTAATATCCAAGTGAATATTATCTGATTTGTTCCTTGTGAGGATTAATTTGATTTCTCAACATGACTGGGTCACGAAGGAGCCCAGATATTTGGCCAAACATTATTCTAGGTATTCCCATGAGTGTGTTCGAAAAATGATTTACATTTAAATCAGTGGAATTGACTAATGTACATTGCCCTCCATAATGTGAGTGGGCCTCATCAGATCAACTGGAGATATATGTCGCCTATTCATTCTGCTTCTGTGGAGAGCCCTGATCAATACACTGTTCATAAGACCAGTGTTTTGGGGATTTATTAATTAATGGAGGCACACTGTGGTTACTTGCCTAGTAAGCTAGAAGAACACTAAAGAGGAAGTGTAAGAGCCGAAATTGCTTTTTAGTAGAACTCAGTTTGAAGTTTCCTTGCAGTGGTGAGTGTGGAGATGGGTTCAGCAGGGTGGTCTGCAGTGGGTTTGCCAAGGGTCTCTGGGATTCCACTGGAATTTCTCTCCACTGAAGGGAGAGGCTTAGCAGGTGCCTCCAGTGCTCTCCAGAGCAAATTGGGTCAGCTTCATTAAGAGTTCCTCTCTGAAGAAGGGAACTATGATCCTGACCCTGGAACAGGCCCTGGAGTCTGAGGCATGAGGGAGAAGCCTACATCTTGGAGAGGTGGACGAAGGAGGAGGGGAATCATAAAGATGGGGCTTTGCCTTCAGCCAGAAGCATTCTGCAATCTCAGGGATGAATCCAAAGATGGAAGAGGGGGTTTCTGGGAATAGGAACCTTTGTTCAGTACCTATTTTGGGGGGTGAGGTGGGGTCCCTCATGTTGTATCACAAGAAACAGATTCTATTTTATGACAGTATGATCTACCCATGGTCTTGTTCTTAAACTCTTGCAGATGCTGAGTCTCAATAGAGATGAGGAATCTGAGGGTCACAGAGCTAGTGCTTGGATGGATTTACAAATGTAGGAAGGAGGTTTGACTGATCTTGGTGTGACACCTCCTTCTTTCATTGTTTTTCTGGGAGGAGTCTGATCTCTTTTCTTTTTTTGTGAGATATAAAATATATGCAGAAAAGTTACTTACAAATGTACACAATATTTAACTAGCGACTATGACCACACAAGCACCACCTAGGTCAAGAAGCACAGTTGTCCAGTGTCCCACAAATGCCTTGCTTGCCCCCTCCCATCACACCTCTTCCCTTTCCTAGCTCCATGAGTGACTGCCTTTCTGACCTCTGTGCTAACATTCTTTCCTGGCTATGTGTTTGCAAACACTGTGATTAAAAGATTGCTTCTCAATTTTGGTCTTGTTTTCCTTCTTCAGGTTGTGTCTCCCTTGAGCAGAAACTGTCACTGCCCAAGGTGGGCTGCCGGTCTTGGTGGCTTCTAGTTCTTTTGGGAGTTTCCAGAACTGATTCTGTCTGGCTGTGACAGTGGGTTTTTTTTTTTTTTTTTTTTTTCCTGCTCAGGTCTCTGCTCTGCTACGAACCTTTATATGCTGTATGCTGATTTCGGTGTGAACTTAAGTGTTCATTTCTCTGGGATAAATGCCCTAGAGTGCAATGGCATGTTTAGTTTTTTTTTTTTTTCGCCATACTCTAGTTTCTAGAGTGGCTGTACCATTTTACATTCCCACCAGCAATGAGTGATTCAGCCATTTTCTCCACATCCAGCATGTGGTGTTATTTCTATTTCTTATTTTATTCATTCTGATAGGGGTGTAGTAATATCTCATAATGGTTTTAATTACATTTCCCCAATGATGAATCATATGGACCACATTTTTTTTTTTTCTTTTTTTTTTTGAGATGGAGTCTCGCTCTGTGGCCCCGGCTGGAGTGCAGTGGCGCGATCTCGGCTCACTGCAAGCTCCGCATATGGACCACATTTTTGTGTCCTCACTTCCCATCTACATATCATTTTAAAAGAAATATTTGTCATGTGTTTTGTCCACTTTCCTATTTTATTGATTTTTTTAAACTGTTGAATTTTCAGTGTCTTTATATATTAAAAATGAAGGTTTTTTTTTTTTTTTTTTTTTTTTTTTTTTTTTTTTTTTTTTTTTTAGGATACGTGGGAAGGTAGTTTGAAACTTTTGAGGTCACCCAAATCTGCTTTTCTTTCTCTTTTTTGGGAACAGATTCTGGATTCAAGATCCCCTCCAACAGTGAAAGCCATTTTCGTGGGCCCTGGGCCCAGGATACTCCAACCTGGTCGCATACCCCTTGGGATTTCCCAGCAGCGGGCTGCAGAATATAACGTCCAGGAGTGGGGTGTCCTCTCTCTCCGGGCTCTTGGAAGACGCTGCTCCGCCTTTGATCACCTGGATTTTTAACTATTCGAATCTAGCTGAAGATCTGTGTAGCCTGGGCAAGCCTCTGCAGAACCCTGGGCTTCAGTTTCCTTCTCTGGGCACTGGGGTGATCACAGGGTCTCCCTGACCAAACCTACAAATGGAAAGTTCTCCCGGAAAGCTCTTTGTAACCACAGACGGTGATGCAATGTAAACCCTTAGAATGACCTCCTAGGATCTAGCCGTAAACCCTGTTCAAATGCCACACTTCATCCTTAGTTCTGTCCCTTCTGGAATTCTTCAGCGAAAGAAGCCTGAGTAGGGATCAGTGGAGCAGGAGGAGGAAGGGAGGGGCTGGGAAGAAGAGAGCCAGGCGGGGAGCAGAGCGCGGCGGGGGTGGTCCGTGACTCACGCGTGGCAGGGCTCACCATCGCCTCCAGGCTGCGCGCCTGCGGCCGGGTCTCCTCCCAGGTTCCCAGCCTGTTCCTTCACCCCATCTCTCTCTCTCTCTCTCTCCCTCCCTCCCTCCCTCTCTCTCTCTCTCTCTGAAATAATCGTTTCAATAAAATGCAGAAAAAGTATTCGATAAAATCCAGCATCCCTTTATGATTAAAAGCCTCAGCAAAATCAGCATAGAAGGGACATACCTTAAAGTAATAAAAGCCCTTTATGACACACCCACAGCCAACCTTATACTGCACAGAGAAAAGATGAAAGCATTCCCCCTGAGAACTGGAACAAGACGAGGACGCCCACTTTCACCACTTCTTTCAACATAGTACTGGAAGTCCTAGCAAGTGATAATTTCTTAAAGGTTAGATACAACCTGAAACCCTATCATTGACTATTTGTATTCTGTTATGTTAAAATAGATTGGTCTATCTTGCCCATTGAATGGATTTGTACTAATAATGAAAACAAACAAACAAAAACAAACCCTACACTATGTATGCCCAGTAGTTACCATATTTAACAGTGCATATCTAGAGTGCTCATAGTTTTCAATCTCCCCCAAAATATATGGTGGGACTCTCAGATTGAATATATATTAAATTATCTTCATCGAGAAGTCACGGATTTGTCCACATGGGCCTTAGACACGTCCTTAAAACACAGCAAGCCCACGAAAGTCTAATTAATATGTATATGTATAAGTGGAGGGTACAGACATTAACCGAAACATGATTTATCACCTCAACATTTTAAGTGTTCAAAAATGCCCATTGCCAGGGCTAATCATTGTCTATATTGCACTGGAATTCTGTTGTTATTGTTTGCTTTAACCAGGTGAATACAAGGAGAAGATAAGTATCCATTTTTCTCAAGACAAACTATTGGATATGACATATGTCAAGTATGCTGAAGGCTCTGTAGACATATTTTTTAAATTATAAAACAAGAGACTTAAACCTTAGAATTCTTTACCTGCTGCCCCTCCTCCCCTTGTATTCCAACAATTTTGTTTTCTTCACCCTTGGACTCCTCTTTCCTCATTGTCACAACCTAGCTGGAACAATACATGAAGTGTCTACAATTGGGCAGTGAAGAAGGATTCTCTAAGCATGACCTAAAAATAAACACCATAAAGAAGTATGAGGGTAGTTTTAAGTACTTATAAATTAAAAAACTTCTCTTTGGTAACCACAAACATAGATATATACAGACAGTTTCTCATAATCAACCTCAAAGACACATAAAAAATTTATAGACAAAATAATAATGCGTCCGAAGCTTTCTTCCAAAGTCCACTAGGAACATATCCTAGTGGGTGAAGAAGTTGGGTTTATTACTGGTTCCTGAGTGCAAGAATAGGTGCTGTGAGCCATGTGGTGTTTTGGTAAGAGGGTGTTAGAAAGAAATTCTTAAAGGATTTGGGCTTTGGTTGGGTGATCCTGGGGAGGGTGAGGAAGTGGGCTTCACTCTAGATTGGGTACTCGTCAGGAAGCAGGGGCAATTCTGTAATTGAATGTCTCAACAAATCTTAGCTCTAGTGAGGGTGGACTAGAGCAGAATAAAGCTGTAATTGGTAGACAAGCATCAGCCCCTGGTATTAGTGGAGAGAGTGCTTAGACAAAATTATGAAGTGTTCTTGTATTTCCTCACTTTATCATCATCTCAGAGTGAACTTTCTAATGTTGGTGTTTTGTGGTGATTGTGGTCCAATAGGAGAATAACATGGCTTAACAATGAACATTGGGCCAGCTTCATATAACAAGGAGTCCCAGCCATAAGTGTCAGATCAGTTCCTAGATATCAGAGGCTTCTTGTTTTCTTTCTTAAATTCAACATTTAAAAATATCTACGTCCCATTTGGAAAAGGATTAATGAATATTAGAGCATAATTTGGCATAGAAAATGCAAGTGTCAAATATAATAGTAATAAGTAAATGTCAACAAAATTAAAATGTGGATTAGGAAATGGGATGGAAGTTTAATATATCTTAGCTTGGCAAAGATGAAAGTCAAAGATAATAATATTGAGTGGAGAATAGGGGAAATTTACTGTCATAAAAGTTGATGGGATTAAATACTGGCATACAATTTCTAAAGAGTCAGGCATGTTGGCTTAATGCCTGTAATCCCAGCACTTTGGGAAGCTGAGGTGGGCAGATTGCTTGAGTCCAGGAGTTCCAGACCAGCCAGGGCAACATGGCGAAACCCCATCTCTACAAAAAATACAAAAAAAATTAGGCATGGTGGCACCCTCCTGTAGTCCCAGGAGGATCGCCTGAGCCGGGGAGGTCAAGGCTACGGTGAGCTGTGATCACACCACTGCACTCCAGCCTGAGGAACAGAGTGAGACCCCATCTCAAAGAAAAAACACCCCAGTGTCTAAAGAGCATTTTTGGAAAATGTCTCAAGAAGATCATGTTGATGCAAAAAACTTATCTTCTAAAAATGTAGCCTAAGAAGAAAATCACACGTTTTTAAAAATATATAACAAGAATATTCCTTGAATTATCGTTTATAAAACAAAAGAATGAAAACAACCAAAATAGTATAATCAATATGATGTTAGCTATGAATTGTGGACACTTAATATGTCTCAGTCAGTAATAATGTGTATAATACATAGACAATATATAATTTAATCATCAGAGAAAACCCATCAGGAATCTACTATGTGACTCAGAGAGGTTGAGGAGGTGGTGAAGCTGGATTGAAGCCAGGAGATCTTCTCTCAGACACCTAATTGACTCATCTTTTGTTGATGCTCTGCCCATAAGGTAGGTGAGTGTGACTCTGCACCCCATGCAAGTGAACCATTTCAATGTCCGTGAACATTCTATGACAGGCAGCTGCTAGGCTTAGAGCTCGGGAGGACAAAAGGGCATGTGTGACTTCACTGCCCACACCACACTAAAGTCCATCATCCGGTGTATATTTCAAGGTGAATCAAGATATTAGCTAGACATTGAAGATAGAAGAAGAGCTAAAGTAAGATCTTGATGATATGGAGCTTGCACTGTCATGAGAGAGACGGACATTTAGCAAAAATTACCAAGATAAATGTGAAACCACTACATTTATGAATTCTGAGAGAAAATTTCATAATATCGTGAAAGAAGATAACAAGGAGACCCAACAAGTCCCCTGCTACTATTATCAATAATATATAAAGGATGTAAGAAAATAAGTGGCATTTATGAAATAGGAACTCATTTATGTAAAATTATACACAAGAACGAGCTCTGGAAATTAAAAATGTGATTACAGAATCATAGAAATGAACAATTCATTAGATAATTTGGAAGACAAAAGTCATAATAAAATGGAAAAATGTTTGCAAAAAAGAAAGAAAAAGTGTAAGAACATTATACTATCAGGCCAAGTGTGGTGGCTCAAGCCTATAATCCTAGTGCTTTGGAGGCTAAGGAAAGAGAATTGCTTGAGCCCAGGAGTTCAAGACCAGCCAGGGCAACACAAGGAGACCCCGTATCAAAAAAACAAACAAACAAACAAACAACAAAAAATGCAATGTTTCAAAAGACTACATGAAGAATAGACTCAGAGATTGTCCTATGAAGACTGCCATAGTATAGGGCAGTAGTTGCAGGGAGACATGGGATCAGAGATCAAGGGATAAATTTCGATGGGAAGATTTTGTTTTGATTTGTTTAGTCCAGTTTTGTTTGTTTTTTTGGGGGGAGATATTACAGCACGTCTGCCTGTAGAAATGATGGGCCAGTAGAGAGTGGAAATTGATGATATAGGGGAAGGAAGGATTGATCTTATGCTTGAGTGCAGGGGTGGTCTTAGGAGCGGGGATCATCCATCATCACTGGTGGGAAGGCTGAGGATACAAGTGCAGATTTGGGGATAGTAATGGGATGGTGATGCATTTCTCACCTGGGTCCTCCTTTTTTTCCTGCGTGAAAGAGAAATAAATGTATAACCTAAAAATAGGGAGTGTGGAAGGAGTGGAGGGATGTGAGGGCAGAGAACAAAGTGAGAAACAGCCCCCTGAGGAATTGTAAGAGTGAACTGACCTGGGAGATGGCATTTGGAGAGTGCAGGGCTGTGGGCCACTGAGGTCTGTGGTCATAACTTTGGGGGTGGGAGAGAGAGAGAGAGAGAGAGAGAGAGAGATAGAGAGAGAGAGAGAATGGCACACATCCAGTAATGGGGCAGCAGCAGGAAAATATATAACTGACTAGAAGGAAATGAAACCACATATCTCTGCTGTAAGGATCATGGGATAGTTTAAATTTGTAATTGATCATTTGAAATATTTGGTAATTTTTCTGCAGTGAATATATATTACATTATAATGAGAAAAAGTTATATTTACAAATTAAAAAGGGAATGTTGATGGAGAAAGTGTAGATAATTTAGAAATATCAGAGAGGATAGAACATACTGAAGGGAATAAAAATAATTGCCTCTTTCCCCAACCCAACTCGGATCCCCATACCAACTACTCACATGCTCTGTTTTTAGAGGGACTCAAAAGCCTGTTTTATCCCAAATGCTTTTTCATAGGGTGACATGGAACTTTAGGGTAAGACTTGGCCTCTAGAATTCACCATTCCCTAGAGAACATGGTGCCCTACAGAAGAAAATCATCATCACTAACGTTGTCATTAGCACCACAAATTGCAGTACCAGCAATTGTGTCAAATGTGTTACAAGCCCTATTGCTATTTAATTTAATTTTCACACAAAAGAAAGTATTTACAGACAAAGAACTGAGCTCTATGAAGCCTCAAATAGCTTTCTGTATGTCATGCTGATCAGAGCAGTCCCAGGATATCCAGGTCTGTCTGACTCGAAGACCCAGGTCCTTTAAATAAATACATACTATTTTGGCTTTACAAGGAATGGGCAGTGTTTTGCACATGTGCCATATTCCGCTTCCTGTGCTGGTGTTTTGCATTCATTATTTCATATCATCCTTATCTAGCCCACACTATGCTCCACTAGGCTGGATGGACTTACAGCATCAGTGGATTCCCATTTTGGACCATGCAGATGATGTGAATTTCAGCTGCAGATCTTTGTGAAAAGGACCGGTTTTCTTATTCATCCCTACCCAGATAAGCTGTGTGTGTGTTTGTGTGTGTAGCTTAATGTAGATCTCCAATTAAAGGCAGTAGAGAGTGGAATAATCACTGGCTGATCAAGAATATACTCACAGTCCACAGCATGATTTACCTATCTCTGTACTGTTTTGCTCCCACTAACTGTAGCAAGTGCTGGATGCTCCTCACATGGCCAACAAGGTGTTCTTCTTCCCTAAGTCTGCAGCCCTCTTTCCTTGTCTACCCCAACCCCAAAATTCCAACTTTGTTCTGCCACTGCACCAAGTGCTTGCTTAAGGGCAGCAATTACCATTTTCCTAGCTCTTCATATCTTTAGAGTAGGCATCTTAAAGACAAAATATCCTCTCATGAGCAGATGCAAAGTGACACAGCACAGCACAGCACCAATTGATTATTGTGTAGAAACTCTCATCCAGTGAGTGAGAGGAGGGATGAAAAGGGTGAAAAGGGCAACCCCATCCTGCTATGTCCCATTGTTATTAATTGGGGATATTACTCCCAGTTTATATATTAAGAAACCAATGCTCAGTAATGAGGGTAATTTGTCCATAGTAATAAAAAAATGGTAAAGGCCATGTTCAAATTCAGACCAATTTTATTTCAGGGCCCATGTTTCCTTCATACATCATCCCTTGTGGCCAAAGTCATTGGCAGCAGCCATTGAAGAGGCCTCAGGTGTAGGAATGTCCAGGGTTTCCCTTTTTTCTGAGACAGGGTCTTGCTCTGTCGCCCAGTCTGGAGTGCAGTGGTATGAACACAGCTCACCGCTGCTTTGACTTCTTGGGCTCAAGTGGTCCTCCTGCCTCAGCTTCCTGAGCAGCTGGGACCACAGGTATGCACTATCACGCCTTATTAATTTTTCTTTTTTAAGAGACAGGGTCTGCCATATTTCCCAGGCTGGAGTGCAGTGGCATGACTACAACTTACTGCAGTCTCAACCTACAACCTCAGCCTGCCAAGTAGTTGGGACCACAGGCACATGTCACCACACTCAGCTAATTACAATTTTTTTTTTTTTTTGGTAAAGATGCAGTCTCCCTAAGTTGCCTAGGCTGGTCTTAAACTTCCAGGCTCAAGTGATACACCCTCCTCTATCTCCCAAAGTGCTGAGATTATAGGCATGAGACACTGTACCTGGCTACTACTGATTTTTGTATGTTGATTTTGTATTATGCAACTTTACTGAATTTGTTTATCAGTTCTAATAGTTCTTTGGTGGAGTCTTGTAGATTTTTCCAAATATAAGATTATATCATCTGCAAACAAGGATAATTTGACTTCTATTTCTTTCTCTTGTCTGATTGCTCTAGCTAGGGTTTCCAATACTATGGTCAATAACGGTGGTGAAAGCAGGCAACCTTGTTGTGTTACTGATCTTAGAGGAAAGGCCTTCAATTTTTCCCCATTCATTTAGTATGATACTAGCTGTGGGTTTGTTGTACATAATGGCTTATTATGTTAAGGTATGTTCCTTCTATACTCAGTTTTTTGACAGTCTTTATCATGAAGGAATGTTGAATTTTATTGACTGTTTTTACAGCATCAATTGAAATGATTATATGGTTTTTGTCTTTCATTCTGTTGAATATGATGTATCACATTGATTGACTTGCATATTTTGAACCATCCTTGCATCCCTAGGATAAATCCCACTTGGTCATGAGGAATGATCTTTTTAATGTGTTGTCGATTTTTATTTGCTAGTATTTTGTTGAGGATTTTTGCAACAATATTTGTCAGTAATATTGGCCTATAGCTTCCTTTTTTTGATGTGTCTTTGTCCGGTTTTGGTATCAGGGTAATACTGCCCTTGTAGGATGATTTTGGAAGTATTCCTTCCTGAATTTTTTGGAACAGTTTGAACAGGATTGGTATTAGTTTTTCTTTAAATGTTTGGTAGAATTCAGCAGTGAAGCCATCAGGGCTTTTCTTTGCTGGGAGACTTTTTGTTATGACTTTTATCTGATTACTTGCTATTGGTCTGTTCAGGTTTTGGATTTTGTTCACCATTCAATCTTGGTAGGTTATATGTATCTAGGAATCTACCCATTTCTTCTAGGTTTTCCAATTTATTGGCATGTAGTTGCCCATAGTAGCCACTGATGATCCTTTGAATTTCTGCAGTATCAGTTGTAATGTCTCTTTTTTCATGTTTGATTTTATTTATTTGGGTCTTCTGTCTTTTTCTGTTAGTCTGGCTAATGATTTGTCAATTTTGTTTAACTTTTCAAAAAACTTACTTTTTGTTTCATTGATCTTTGGTATTGTTTTCTTCATTTCAAACTCATTTACTTTTGTTCTGATCTTCATATTTCTTTTCTTCTACTAATTTTGGGTTTGGTTTTCCCTTGCTTTTCTAGCTATTTAAGATGCATTGTTGTATTGTTTATTTGAAGTTTTTCTTTTTTTTTTGATGTAGCTACTTATAGCTATAAACTTCCCTCTTAGTATTACTTTCACTGTATCCCTTAGGTTTTGGTATGTTGCATTTCCATTATCATTTATTTTCAGAATTTTTTCAATTTCTCTTTCTATAAATAAATAAATACATATATTATATATATTCTACATATATATTTTTTCCTTTTTAATTTTATTTATTTATTTTTATTATACTTTAAGTTCTAGAGTACAAGTGCACAATGTGCAGGTTTGTTACATAGGTATACATGTTGGTTTGCTGCACCCATTAACTCGTCATTTACATTAGGTATTTCTCCTAATGCTATCCCTCTCCCAGCCCCCTCTCCATGACTGTCCCCGGTGTGTGATGTTCGCCGCCCTGTGTCCAAGTGTTCTCATTGTTCAGTTTCCACCTATGAGTGAGAATATGCAGTGTTTGGTTTTCTGTCCTTGTGATAGTTTCCTCAGAATGATGGTTTCCAACTTCATCCATGTCCCTGCAAAGGACATGAACTCATCCTTTTTTATGGCTGCTTAGTATTCCATGGTGTATATGTGCCACATTTTCTTAATCCAGTCTATCATTGATGGACATTTGGGTTGGTGTCAAGTCTTTGCTATTGTGAATAGTGCCACAATAAACATATGTGTGCATGTGTCTTTATAGTAGCCTGATTTATAATCCTTTGGGTATATACCCAGTAATGGGATCACTGGGTCAAATGGTATTTCTAGTTCTAGATCCTTGAGGAATTGCCACACTGACTTGTACAATGGTTGAACTAGTTTACACTCCCACTGACAGTGTAAAAGTGATCCTATTTCTCCACACCCTCTCCAGTATCTGTTGTTTCCTGACTTTTTAATATCACCATTCTAACTGGCATGAATGCTATCTCATTGTGGTTTTGATTTGCATTTCTCTGATGACCAGTGATGATGAGCATTTTTTCATGTGTCTATTGGCTGCATAAATGTCTTCTTTTGAGAAGTGTCTGTTTATATCCTTGGCCCACTTTTTGATGGGGTTGTTTGTTTCTTTCTTGTAAATTTGTTTAAGTTCTTTGTAGATTCTGGATATTAGCCCTTTGTCAGATGGGTAGATTGCAAAAATTTTCTCCCATTCTATAAGTTGCTTGTTCACTCTGATATTAGTTTCTTTTACTGTGCAGAAGCTCTTTAGTTTAATTAGATCCCATTTGTCTATTTTGGCTTTTGTTGCCGTTGCTTTTGGTGTTTTAGTCATGAAGTTCTTGCCCATGCCTATGTCCTGAATGGTATTGCCTAGGTTTTCTTCTAGGGTTTTTATGGTTTTAGGTCTAACATTTAATTCTTTAATCCATCTTGAATTAATTTTTGTATAAGGTGTAAGGAAGGGATCCTGTTTCAGCTTTCTACATATGGCTAGCCAGTTTTCCCAGCACCATTTATTAAATACGGAATCATTTCCCCATTTCTTGTTTTTGTCAGGTTTGTCAAAGATCAGATGGCTGTAGATGTGGGGTGTCATTTCTGAGGCCTCTGTTCTGTTCCATTGGTCTATATCTCTGTTTTGGTACCAGTACCATGCTGTTGTGGTTACTGTAGCCTTGTAGTATAGTTTGAAGTCAAGTAGCGTGATGCCTCCAGCTTTGTTCTTTTGGCTTAGGATTGTATTGGCAATGCAGGCTTTTTTTTTGGTTCCATATGAACTTTAAAGTAGCTTTTTCCAATTCTGTGAAGAAAGTCATTGGTAGCTTGATGGGGATGGCATTGAAAGTGTAAATTACCTTGGGCAATATGGCCATTTTCACGATATTGATTTTTCCTATCCATGAGCATGGAATATTCTTCCATTTGTTTGTGTCCTCTTTTATTTTGTTGAGCAGTGGTTTGTAGTTCTCCTTGAAGAGGTCCTTCATATCCTTTGTAAGTTGGATTCCTAGGTATTTTATTCTCTTTGCAGCAATCGTGAATGGGAGTTCACTCATGATTTGGCTCTCTGTTTGTCTGTTATTGGTGTACAGAAATGCTTGTGATTCTTGCACATTGATTTTATATCCTGAGACTTTGCTGAAGTTGCTTATCAGCTTAAGGAGATTTTGGGCTGAGATGATGGGGTTTTCTAGATATACAATCATGTCATCTGCAAACAGGGACAATTTGACTTCCTCTTTTCCTAATTGAATACCCTTTATTTCTTTCTCTTGCCTGATTGCCCTGGCCAGAACTTCCAACATTATGTTGAATAGGAGTGGCGAGAGACGGCATCCCTGTCTTGTGCCAGTTTTCAAAGGGAATACTTCCAGTTTTTGCCCATTCAGTATGATATTGACTGTGGGTTTGTCATAAATAGCTCTTATTATTTTGAGATACGTTTCATCAATATCTAGTGTATTGAGAGTTTTTAGCATGAAGGGCTGTTGAATTTTGTCAAAGGCCTTTTCTGCATCTATTGAGATAATCATGTGGTTTTTGTCATTGGTTCAGTTTATGTGATGGATTATGTTTATTGATTTGCATATGTTGAACCAGCCTTGCATCCCAGGGACAAAGCCAACTTGATTGCAATGGATAAACTTTTTGATGTGCTGCTGGATTCAGTTTGCCAGTATTTTATTGAGGATTTTCGCATTGATGTTCATCAGGGATATTGGTCTAAAATTCTTTTTTTTGTTGTTGTGTCTCTGCCAGGCTTTGGTATCAGAATGATGCTGGCCTCATAAAATGAGTTAGGGAGGATTCCCTTTTTTCTATTGATTGGAATAGTTTCAGAAGGAATGGTACCAGCTCCTCCTTGTACCTCTGGTAGAATTTGGCTGTGAATCCATCTGGTCCTGGACTTTTTTTGGTTGGTAAGCTATTAATTATTGACTCAATTTCAGAGCCTGTTATTGGTCTATTCAGAGATTCAACTTCTTCCTGGTTTAGTCTTGGGAGGGTGTATGTGTTGAGGAATTTATCCATTTCTTCTAGATTTTCTAGTTTATTTGCGTAGAGGTGTTTATAGTATTCTCTGATGGTAGTCTGTATATCTGTGGGATCGGTGGTGATATCCCCTTTATCATTTTTTATTGTGTCTATTTGATTCTTCTCTCTTTTCTTCTTTATTAGTCTTGCTAGCGGTCTATCAATTTTGTTGATCTTTTCAAAAAACCACCTCCTGGATTCATTGATTTTTTGAAGGGTTTTTTATGTCTCTATCTCCTTAAGTTCTGCTCTGATCTTACTTATTTCTTGCCTTCTGCTGTCTTTTGAATGTAAAGTTTGCTCTTGCTTCTCTAGTTCTTTTAATCGTGATGTTAGGGTGTCAATTTTAGATCTTTCCTGCTTTCTCTTGTGGGCATTTAGTGCTATAAATTTCCCTCTACACATTGCTTTAAATGTGTCCCAGAGATTCTGGTATGCTGTGTCTTTGTTCTCATTGGTTTCAAAGAACATCTTTATTTGTGCCTTCATTTCATTATGTACCCAGTAGTCATTCAGGAGCAGGTTGTTCAGTTTCCATGTAGTTGAGCGGTTTTGAGTGAGTTTGTTAATCCTGAGTTCTAGTTTGGTTGCACTGTGGTCTGAGCAACAGTTTGTTATAATTTCTGTTCTTTTATATTTGCTGAGGAGTGCTTTACTTCCAACTATGTGGTCAATTTTGGAATAAGTGCGGTGTGGTGCTGAGAAGAATGTACATTCTGTTGATTTGGGGTGGAGAGTTCTGTAGATGTCTATTAGGTCCGCTTGGTGCAGAACTGAGTTCAATTCCTGGATATCCTTGCTAACTTTCTGTCTCGTTGATCTGTCTAATGTTGACAGTGGGGTGTTAAAGTCTCCCATTATTATTGTGTGGGAGTCTAAGTCTCTTTGTAGGTCACTCAGGACTTGCTTTATGGATCTGGGTGCTCCTGTATTGGGTGCATATCTATTTAGGATAGTTAGCTCTTCTTGTTGAATTGATCCCTTTACCATTATGTAATGGCCTTCTTTGTCTCTTTTGATCTTTGTTGGTTTAAAGTCTGTTTTATCAGAGACTGGGATTGCAACCCCTGCCTTTTTTTGTTTTCCATTTGCTTGGTAGATCTTCCTCCATCCCTTTATTTTGAGCCTATGTGTGTCTCTGCACATGAGATGGGTTTCCTGAATACAGCACACTGATGGGTCTTGACTCTTTATCCAATTTGCCAGTCTGTGTCTTTTAATTGGAACATTTAGCCCATTTACATTTAAGGTTAATATTGTTATGTGTGAATTTGATCCTGTCATTATGATGTTAGCTGGTTATTTTGCTTGTTAGTTGATGCAGTTTCTTCCTAGCATCGATGGTCTTTACAATTTGGCATGTTTTTGCAGTGGCTGGTACCAGTTGTTCCTTTCCATGTTTAGTGCTTCCTTCAGGAGCTCTCGTAGGGCAGGCCTGGAGGTGACAAAATTTCTGAGCATTTGCTTGTCTGTAAAGTATTTTATTTCTCCTTCACTTATGAAGCTTAGTTTGGCTGGATATGAAATTCTGGGTTGAAAATTCTTTTCTTTAAGAATGTTGAATATTGGCCCCCAGTCTCTTCTGGCTTGTAGAGTTTCTGCTGAGAGATCCGCTGTTAGTCTGATGGGCTTCCCTTTGTGGGTAACCCAACCTTTCTCTCTGGCTGCCCTTAACATTTTTTCCTTCATTTCAACTTTGGTGAATCTGACAATTAATGTGTCTTGGAGTTGCTCTTCTCACGGAGTATCTTTATGGCATTCTCTGCATTTCCTGAATTTGAATGTTGGTCTGCCTTGCTAGGTTGGGGAAGTTCTCCTGGATAATATCCTGCAGAGTGTTTTCCAACTTGGTTCCATTCTCCCTGTCACTTTCAGGTACACCAAGCCAACGTAGATTTGGTCTTTTCACATAGTCCCATATTTCTTGGAGGCTTTGTTCATTTCTTTTTATTCTTTTTTCTCTAAACTTCTCTTCTTGCTTCATTTCATTCATTTGATCTTCAATCTCTGTTACCCTTTCTTCCAGTTGATTGAATCGGCTACTGAATCTTGTGCACGCATCACGTAGTTCTCCTGCCATGGTTTTCAGCTCCATCAGGTCCTTTAAGGACTTCTCTGCATTGGTTATTCTAGTTAGCCATTCGTCTAATCTTGTTTCAAGGTTTTTAACTTCTTTGCAATGGGTTTGAACTTCCTCCTTTAGCTTGGAGAAGTTTGATCGTCTGAAGCCTTCTTCTCTCAGCTCATCAAAGTCATTCTCCGTCTAGCTTTGTTCCGTTGCTGGTGAGGAGCTGCATTCCTTTGGAGGAGGAGAGGCACTCTGAGTTTTAGAATTTTCAATTTTTCTGCTCTGTTTTTTCCCCATCTTTGTGGTTTTATCTACCTTTGGTCTTTGATGATGGTGACGTACAGATGGGGTTTTGGTGTGGATGTTCTTTCTGTTTGTTAGTTTTCCTTCTAACAGTCAGGACCCTCAGCTGCAGGTCTGTTGGAGTTTGCTGGAGGTCCACTCCAGACCCTGTTTGCCTGGGTATCAGCAGCAGAGGCTGCAGAACAGTGAATATTGCTGAACAGCAAATGTTGCTGCCTGATCGTTCCTGTGGAAGTTTTGTCTCAGAGGGGTACCTGGCCGTGTGAGGTGTCAGTCTGCCCCTACAGGGAGATGCCTCCCAGTTAGGCTTCTCAGGGGTCAGGGACCCACTTGAGGAGGCAGTCTGTTCATTCTCAGATCTCAAACTCCATGCCGGAAGAACCACTACCCTCTTCAAAGCTGTCAGACAGGCACATTTAAGTCTGCAGAGGTTTCTACTGCCTTTTGTTCGGCTATGCCCTGCCTCCAGCGGTGGAGTCTACAGAGGCAGGCAGGCCTCCTTGAGCTGCAGTTGGTTCCACCCAGTTCAAGCTTCCCGGTCGCTTTGTTTACCTACTCAAGCCTCAGCAATGGTGGGCGCCCCTCCCCCAGCCTTGCTGCCACCTTGCAGTTTGATCTCAGACTGCTGTGCTAGCAATGAGGGAGGCTCCATGGGCTTGGGACCCTCCGAGCCAGGTGCAGGATATAATCCCCTGGTGTGCCATTTGCTCAGACCATTGGAGAAGCGCAGTATTAGGGTGGGAGCTACCCGATTTTCCAGGTGCCGTCTGTCACAGCTTTGCTTGGCTAGGAAAAGGAATTTCCTGACCCCTTGTGCTTCTTGGGTGAGGTGATGCCTTGCCCTGCTTCAGCTTATGCTCGGTGCACTGCACCCACTGTTCTGCACCCACTGTCCGACAAGCCCCAGTGAGATGACCCTGGTACCTCAGTTGGATATGCAGAAATCACCCATCTTCTGCATGGCTCACGCTGGGAGCTATAGACTGGAGCTGTTCCTATTTGGCCATCTTGGAACTGCTCCCCAGTGTTGTGTAGGTTTTTGTAAAGAGATTGTTCATTTCCTTGCTTAAATTTATTCCTGTTTTTCTGGGGGGTTTTTGTCGCTATCATAAATGGGACTGCTTTTAAATTTCTTTCTTAGCTACTTCATTACTAATGTGTAGACATTATATTGATTTTTGCATGTTGATTTTGCATCTTGCCACTTTACTGAATTTATTTATTGGATCTAATTGTTTTTTGGTGGCATCTTTAGATTTTTTTAGACATAGGATTATACCATTGGCAGGAAGGCAAGAGAGGCTGAAGGTTAAGCTGATGGCCATGATGTAATGAATCATGCCTAAGAAATATGGCTTCCATCAAAACCCAAAAGGGAAGAGTCAGAGAGCTTCTGTATGGCTGAACACAGGGAGGCTTATAGGAAGGTGAACAATAACTCAGACATGTGCCAGGGAGGGTAGCACTTCCCAAACACATGGGGCAGAAGCTCCTGCACTCAAGACCCTTTCAGACCTCACCCTATGTATCTCTTCATGTGGCTCTTATCTCTTCATGTGGCTCTTTATCCTTTAAAATATCCTTTTAAATAAACTGGTTAATGTATGTAAGTGTTTCCTGGCATGCTATGAGCCATTCTAGCAAATCAATCAAACCTGAGGGTGGGTTTTGGGAACCCTGATTTATAGTCAGTGAGTTAGCAACACAGGCAAAATAATCTGGGGCTTGAGATTGTCATCAGAAGTGAGAGGGTGACAGTCGTGAGGACTGAGCCATCAACTTGCGGGATCTAAAATTATCTCCAGGGAGATAGTGTCAGAATTGAGTTAGAGGATACCCAGCTGGCGTCCATAACAGAACCAATTGTTTGCTTGTTTTTGGGGAGAAATCCCCTACATTTCATCGCAGAAGCCTTCTGTGTTGATAGTTGTTGGGGTGTAAGAACAGTAGAAAAAAGACTTTGAATTTTCCCACAAAATTTTGCCACAAAAATGTGGTTAAAAGATTTTTTAAAAACTGGCACATTTGTCTAGAGCACTTACCATGAATGGAGCTTACAGGACTGGAAATTGCTCTGGGTGTCAGTGAGTGGCGAGTGAATGTGAAGTCTAGGGCATTACTATACACTACTTAGACTTTATAAACACTGTACATTTAGGCTACACTAAATTAATTTTAAAAATCATTTTCTTTCTTTAATAATAAATTAATCTTAGCTTACTGTAACTTTTTAATCTTTTTTTCTCCACCCTTTTTTTAAGTTCAGGGGTACATGTACAGAATGTGCAGGTTTGTTACGTAGGTAAATGTGTGCCATGGTGGTTTGCTGCAGAGATCGTCCCATCACCTAGGTATTAAGGCCAACATCCATTGGCTATTCTTCCTGGTGCTTCCCTCCCCCAGCCCCATGCCCTCTAACAGACCCCAGTGTGTGTTGTTCTCCCCCATGTATCCATGTGTTGTCATCATTCAGCTCCCACTTATAAGTGAGAACACATGGTGTTTTGTTTTCTGTTCCTGGGTCAGTTTGCTGAGGATAATGGCTTCCCACTCCATTCATGTCCCTGCAAAGGACATGGTCTTATTCCTTTATGTGGCTGCATCGCATTCCATGTTGTATATGTACCACATTTTCTTTATCCAGTCTATCATTGATGGGCATTTATGTTGATTCCATGTCTTTGCTATTGTGAATAGTGCTGCAATGAACATATGCGTGTATATATCTTTATAATAGAATGATTTATATTCCTTTGGGTATGTATCCAGTAATGAGATTGCTAGGTCAATTTCTGCCTCTAGGTTTTTGAGGAATCACCACACTGTCTTCCACAATGGTTGAACGAATTTACATTTCCACCAACAGTGTGAAAGCATTGCTTTTTCTCTGTGACTTCACCAGCATCTCTTGTTTTTTGACTTATTAATAGCCACTCTGGTATCTCATTGTGGTTTTTATTTGCATTTCTCTAATTATCAGTGATGTTCAACTTTTCTCATATGTTTGTTGGCTGCATGTATGTCTTTTTTTGAGAGGTGTCTGCTCATGTCCTTTGCCTACTTTTTAATGGGGTTGTTTGTTTTTTTCTTGTAAATTTGCTGAAGCTCCTTGTAAACTCTGGATATTAGACCTTTGTCAGATGTATAGATTGCAAAAATCTTCTCCTATTCTGCAGGTTGTCTATTCACTCTGCTGATAGTTTCCTTTGCTGTGCAGAAGCTCTTTAGTTTAATTAATTCCATTAGTCAATTTTTGCTTTTGTTGCAATTGCTTTTGGAGTCTTCATCATGAAATCTTTGCCCATGCCTATGTTCTGAAGAGTATTGCATAGATTTTCTTCTAGCGTTTTTATAGTTTTGGGTTTTACATTTAAGTCTTTAATCCATCTTGAATTAATTTTTGTATATAGTTTAAGGAACGGGCCTAGTTTCAATTTTCTGCATATGGCAAGCCAGTTCTCCCAGCACCATTTATTAAATAGGGAATTCTTTCCCCATTACTTGTTTTGGTCAGACTTGTCAAAGATCAGATGGTTGTAGGTGTGTGATCTTATTTCACAGTTCTTTATTCTGTTCCATTGGTCTATGTATCTGTTTTTGTATCAGTACCATGCTGTTTTAGTATTGTAACCTTGTAGTATAGTTTGAAGTCAGGTAATGTGATGCCTCCAGTTTTGTTCTTTTTGCTTAGAATTGTCTTGGCTATTCAGGCTCTTTTTTTGGTTCCATATGAATTTAAAAATAGTTTTGTTTTTTTTTTCAGGCTAGGCGCAGTGGCCCACGCCTATAATCCCAGCACTTTGGGAGGCTGAGGTGGACAGATCATGAGGTCAGGAGTTCAAGACTAGCCTGGCCAACATTGTGAAACCCCATCTCTACTAAAAATACAAAAATTAGCTGGGCGTGGTGGTGCGCATTTGCAATCCCAGCTACTTGGGAGGTTGAGGCAGGAGAATCGCTTGAACCTGGGGACGCGGAGGTTGCAGTGAGCCGAGATCACGCCACTGCACTCCAGCCTGGGTGACAGAGCAAGACTCTATCTTAAAAAAAAAAATAGTGTTTTTTTTTCTTCTAATTCTGTGAAGAATGTCTATGATAGTTTAATGGGAATAGCATCACATCTACAAATTACTTTGGGCAGTATGGCCATTTTCATGATATGGATTCTTCCTATCCATGAACATGGAATGTTATCCTATTTGTTTGTATCCTCTCTGATTTTTCTTTGAGCAGTGGTTTGTAGTTCTCCTTGAAGAGGTCCTTCACTTCCCTTGTTAGCTGTATTCCTAGGTATTTCATTCTTTCTGTAGGAATTGTGAATGGGAGTTGATGATTTGGCTCTCTGCTTGCCTGTTGTTGGTATATAGGAATGCTAGCGATTTTTGCACATTCTGTATCCTGAGACGTTGCTGAAGTTCCTTATCAGCTTAAGAAACTGCTGTTCTCATGATGGTGAAACTAATATAAGTGGTGAGAGGCTTGTCTGGTGCCGGTTTTCAAGGGGAATGTTTCCAGCTTTTGCCCATTCAGTATGATATTGGCTGTGGGTTTGTCATATATTGCCCTTATTATTTTGAGATCTCTTCCTTCAACACCTAGTTTATTAAGAGTTTTTAACATGAAAGTATATTGAATTTTATCAAGTGCCTTTTCTGCATCTATTGAGATAATCATGTGGTTTTTTTCTTTAGTTCTGTTTATGTTATGAATCGCATTTATTGATTTGTGTATGTTGAACCAACCTTGCATCCTGGGGATGAAGCCAACTTGATTGTGATGAATAAGCTTTTTGATGTGCTGCTGGATTCGGTTTGCCAGAATTTTATTGAGGATTGTTGCATTGATGTTCATCATGCATGGCCCGAAGTTTTCTTTTTTTGTTATATCTCTGCCAAGTTTTGGTATCAGGATGATGCTGGCCTTTTAAAATGAGTTAGGGAAGAGTCCCCCCTTTTCAATTGTTTGGAATAGTTTTAGTGAAAATGGTACCAGCTCTCCTTTGTACTTTTGATAGAATTCAGCTATCAATCTGTCTGGTCCTCGGCTTTTTTTGGTTGGTAGGCTATTTATTGCCTCAACTTCAGAACTCATTACTGGCCTGCTAAGAGTTTCAATTTCTTCCTGGTTCAGTCTTGGGAGGGTGTATGTGGGCAGGAATTTATCAACTTCTTCTAGATTTTCTAGTTTATTTGCATAGAGGTGTTCGTAGTATTCTCTGATTGTTGTTTGTATTTCTGTGGGGCCAGTGGTAATATCACCCTTGTTATTTCTGATTTGTTTATTTGATTCTTCTCTCTCTTCTTCTCTATTAGTCTAGATAGTGTTCTATTTTATTAATTCTTTCAAAAAAACAGCTCCTAGATTCATTAACGTTTTGAAGGGTTTTGTGTGTCTCTCTCTCCTTCAGTTCAGCTCCGATCTTGGTTATTTCTTGTCTTCTGCTAGCTTTGGGATTTGTTTTTGTTTCTCTAGTTCTTTTAGTTGTGATACTAGATTGTTAACTTGAGATTTTTCTGGTGTTTTGATATAGGCATTTAGTGCTATAAATTTCCCTCTTTACACTGCTGTAGCTGTGTCCCAAAGATTCTGATACATTGTCTCTTCATTCTCATTAGCTTCAAATAACTTATTGATTTCTGCCTTAATTTAATAATTTACCCAACAGTCATTCAGGAGCAGGTTGTTCAATTTCCATGTAGTTGTATGGTTTTGAGCGAATTTCTTACTTTTGGTTTCTAATTTGATTGTGCTGTGGTCTGAGAGACTGTTTATTATGATTTCAGTTCTTTTTGCATTTGCTGAGGAGTGTTTTACTTTTGATTATGTGACCAATTTTAGAGTAGGTGCTGTGTAGCAATGAGAAGAATGTATATTCTGTTGTTTTTGGGTGGAAAGCTCTGTAGGTGTCTATCAGATCCACTTGATCCAAAGCTGAGTTCAAGTCTTGAACTTTTTCATATTTATAAACCTTAATTTTTTAAAAAATTCAACTATTTTGTAATAGCACTTAGCTTAAAACACCAGCACATTATTCAGCTATACAAAAATATTTTTCCTTATATTCTCATTCTAGAAACTATTTCTACTTAATTTTTTAACCTTTTAATCTTTTTTGGTAAAAACAAAGACATACATTAGCCTAGGCTGACACAGGGTCAGGATCAACAATATCACCAACTTCAGCCTTCACATCTTGTCCCACTGTTATTTCACAGGTAATAACAAGCATGGAACTGTCATCTCCTGTGATAACAATGCCTTCTTCTGGAATACCTCCTAAAGGACCTGCCTGACGCTGTTTTAATTTAACTTAAAAAATAATTAGAGCACACTCTAAAATCACCATAAAAAGTATAGTAAATACATAAACCAGTAACATATTTATTATCATCAAGTATTACATGCTGTTTTTAACTGTATGGGGTAGACTTTTATAGGATTGGCAGTGCAGTAGGTTTATTTACATCAGCATCACCACAAGCACATGATTAATGCATTGTGTTATGACATTACAATGGCTACAATGTCACTAGGTGATAGGAATTTTTCAGCTCCGTTTAATAGGATGACAGTCGTATACGTGATCAATCATTGACAGAAACATCATTAAGCAGTGCATGACTGTATAACACAGTGATGTGTGTGTGTGTGTGTGTGTATTTTGTGTGTATAAGGTTGTTAAAGATGAAATTGAGGTTTCAACTGGGCACTAAGATATAACATATTAACTTTGCCTGTGAATTGTCAAATTACCCTATTCAGATTTTCAAATGCAATGACTATTGAAGGATTAGAGGTCTTCTGACTTGAACTGTGATAGACTAGCTCATTTAAAACTCATCCTCCCACTGTAAACAAGTATAAAAGCCAGACAAAACACGATGCAGTTGTGCAGCTGCAAAACAGCAGCCAGAGCAGGACTATCACCCTCCAGGGAATGGAGTCCCTGAAAGAGAGACTCACATCCTCATCAGCTTTCTTTCTAAGAGGATTTTTTTCAAAATTCAATGAAGGGAAATGGAACCCAAGCAGAGAGAATCAATCTCAGTAGCAAAGGAATCAGAGATCAGAGTTCAGGCTTGGCACTTTGACTGGGATTTAAGGGTAGGGTGCTGAAGGAGGGAGCTACAGCGAAGAAACTCCCAAAATCTGCACTCCAAAGCTGCATATGCTCCAGGTGATACTGTAAGAAGCCCACCAGAGAACAGCTGCTTGGGGATTGCATGCTATGTAGAAATGCCAAAGGCTTCATAGTGTGAGGAGATATTGGAATTAATTTAGCCCAGCCAAACCCGGGTTGAGACATGAGGATGGTGAAGCACTATGAGTGAGGGCCGTGGCCTTGGAGTAAGTACCACACTGAAATAGCAAAGTAGCAAAGTCTAAAATCAAGCCTTGGGAAAGGATTCCCTATTTAATAAATGGTGCTGAGAAAACTGGCTAGCCATATGTAGAAAGCTGAAACTGGATCCTTTCCTTACACCTTATACAAAAATCAATTCAAGATGGATTAAAGACTTAAACGTTAGACCTAAAACCATAAAAACCCTAGAAGAAAACCTAGGCATTACATTCAGGACATAGGCATGGGCAAGGACTTCATGTCTAAAACACCAAAAGCAATGGCAACAAAAGCCAAAATTGACAAATGGGATCTAATTAAACTAAAGAGCTTCTGCACAGCAAAAGAAACTACCATCAGAGTGAGCAGGCAACCTACAACATGGGAGAAAATTTTCACAACCTACTCATCTGACAAAGGGCTAATATCCAGAATCTACAAAGAACTTAAACAAATTTACAAGAAAAAAAAAACCACCCCATCAAAAAGTGGGCGAAGGACATGAACAGACATTTCTCAAAAGAAGACATTTATGCAGCCAAAAAACACATGAAAAAATGCTCACCATCACTGGCCATCAGAGAAATGCAAATCAAAACCACTATGAGATATCATCTCACACCAGTTAGAATGGCAATCATTAAAAAGTCAGGAAACAACAGGTGCTGGAGAGGATGTGGAGAAATAGGAACACTTTTATGCTGTTGGTGGGACTGTAAACTAGTTCAACCATTGTGGAAGTCAGTGTAGCAATTCCTCAGGGATCTAGAACTAGAAATACCATTTGACCCAGCCATCCCATTACTGGGTATATACCCAAAGGGCTATAAATCATGCTGCTATATAGACACATGTACACGTATGTTTATTGCAGCACTATTCACAATAGCAAAGTCTTGGAACCAACCCAAATGCCCAACAATGATAGACTGGATTAAGAAAATGTGGCACATATACACCATGGAATACTATGCAGCCATAAAAAGTGATGAGTTCATGTCCTTTGTAGGGACATGGATGAAATTGGAAATCATCATTCTCAGTAAACTAACGCAAGAACAAAAAACCAAACACCGCATATTCTCACTCATAGGTGGGAATTGAACAATGAGAACACATGGACACAGGAAGTGGAACATCACACTCTGGGGATTGTTGTGGGGTGGGGGGAGGGGGGAGGGATAGCATTGGGAGATATACCTAATGCTAGATGACGAGTTAGTGGGTGCAGCACACCAGCATGGCACATGTATACCTATGTAACTAACCTGCACATTGTGCACATGTACCCTAAAACTTAAAGTATAACAAAAAAATAAATAAAATAAAATAAAATAAAATAAAATCAAGCCTAAGCAGAATCAAAGTGGGTCCGATTTTTACCAAAGGTAATTCTTTTATAATTAATGAACTATCAAATTGTTAGCAGTCTGTGGAGGAAGATGGCAAAATCCAGAGCCTCTATAACACATCATCCAGAATATGTGGCATGCCAAGCAGCAGAGAAAATGCAACAAGTAGAGATAAAATCAGACTAAGTATTCCATGGTGTATATGTACCACATTTTCTTAATCCAGTCTATCATACTATGCAGCCATAAAAAATGATGAGTTCATGTCCTTTGTAGGGACATGGATGAAACTGGAAACCATCATTCTCAGCAAACTATCGCAAGGAGAAAAAACCAAACACCTCGTGTTCTCACTCATAGGTGGGAATTGAACAATGAGAACACGTGGACACAGGAAGGGGAACATCACACACCGGGGACTGTTGTGGGGTGGGGGAAGTGGGGAGGGATAGCATTAGGAGATATACCTAATGTTAAATGACGAGTTAATGGGTGCAGCACACCAACATGGCACATGCATACATATGTAACTAACTTGCATGTTGTGCACATGTACGCTAAAACTTAAAGTATAATAAAAAAAATCAGGCTAAGAGTTGATGTGGATATTGAAGCAGGCAAGCAAGAACATTCTCAAAGTATTTATGATTAATATGTTAAGGAAAATAGAGGGAAAGATGGGCAAACTATTTCAAAATCCCCAGAAAGATCAATCATAAAAAGAGAGAAAACAGAAATGAACACTATAAAGAACAACATAAAACCGTATATTTTATTAAAATGAAAATAAGAGAATATTAGACACAACTTCCTGACAATACCTTTTAAAATTTAGGTGCAATGAAATGAGTTCTTGAAAACGACAATTGAACAAGCCAACAGAAAACTGAATAGAAAATATAAGTAGTCCTATATCCATTAAGAAATGGGATTCTAATTAAATTCTTTCCCACCAAAAACACTCTTTGCCCACGTTTTTTCCCCTGTCAATTCTTCCAAAACTTTTTTTAAAAAAGTCAGTCTTATTCAGTCATCTCTTGGTATCCTTTTGGGATGGGATCTAGGGCCCCCTGTGGATACCAAAATCTATGAATGCTCAGGTCCCATGTATAAAATGGTCTAGTATTTGCTTATTACCTATGCACATCCTCCCATATACTTTAAATCACCTATAGATTACTAATACCTAATTCAATGTAAATTATTCGCAAATAGTTGTTATACTATATTGTTTAGGAAATAATGATAAGAAAAAGTCTATATATCTTCAGTACAGATGTAACCGCTGTAGGTAGGCCTAACTACATAGTATACATCAGCAGCAACAACAGTTTCGATCCTCAGGTAGTTAAATTCACAGATGTGAAACACACAGACATGGAGGGCAGACTATCATATATTCTTTTAGATAATAAAAAAAGAGTAAACACCTTCCAACTAATTTTATGAGACAACATAGCCCAGAGAAGAACTTAAACATGACAATGACATTACAAAAAAGATATCCACCATCTGAATGAACTGATGAACACAGCCACCAAAATTCCATCTAAAATATTAGAAAATAGAAGCAAGTAATATATGGAGAGGATAATGTACAATGGGACTGAATGGGATTTATAAGAGAAATGTGACTTTAAAAAATCAGAGTAATTTACCACATGAATAGAAAAAGGTAGAAAAACGTGCAGTTATGTCAACAGATGCATGAGAATCATTTGATAAAATTCAACAACTATTCATTATAAAAACTCAATAAACCAGAAATAAAAGAGAACTTCCTTAAGCTAATAAAGTTATTTATAAAAAAGAAATACCTCTATCTAAAGTCAAAATTAATGAGAAAAATATTGAAAACTACTCCTCTGTGTTGGGGACAAAATAAGGATATCCAATATCATTCCTTTTTTTTTTTTTTTTTTTGAGATGGAGACTTGCTTTGTCACCCAGGCTGGACTGCAGTGGTGCGATCTCGGCTCACTGAAAACTCCGCCTCCCAGGTTCAGGAGAATCGCCTGCCTCAGCCTCCTGAGTAGCTGGGATTACAGACATGTGCCACCATGCCCAGCTAATTTTTGTCGTTTTAGTAGAGATGGGGTTTCACCATGTTGATCAGGCTGGTCTTGAACTCCTGACCTCATGATCTGCCCGCCTTGGCCTCCCGAAGTGCTGGGATTACAGGCGTGAGCCACCGTGCCCGGCCACTTTTTTAAAAAATTATTTTTTATTTCAAGGTTTTTAGGGGTGGGTGGTGTTTGGTTACCTGAATTAATTCTTTAGTGGTGATTTCTGAGATTTTGGTGCACCCAGCAGTCAGGAAGGATTGAGCAACAGGGTGGGGAATATCCATCTCCCCACCTCCCTACCCCGATCAGCCTGAACTGATGGCAGAAACTGACTGCTGATGCTTGCTTTACTCACCCACATTCCCCATTCACTTATTCTTCATCAATTTGGTTCACATGTTCCCAGCAGTCGCTTCACCCCAGAAGCAGTCTGACTCCTATTCTTCAATACCAGGGAAACTCAAAGCCCTCTCTGCCCCCATCTCTGATATTACACTTCAGCTCAACATCATCACATGAAGGATCCAACTCTTCAGGGCAGATGTTCCCCCAGAGTCAGCCCCTGAATTTTGGCCCCAGATGTGCACCCCCACCCCCAACCTTTCCTTTTCTGTTTTGCTGTGAATCTGTCAATCACTGGGAACTGGCAGGGAGAGGTAGGAAGAGGGAGAGATTTCTTCATGCTGTGTCAAGGCATTGAGACAGACCTCTCCTTTTCCCCTGAACCTTGTATTCTACTCTTCCCAGATGCATGAAATAAAGCACAGGCCAGAAATGTCTATTTAAAGAGTAAAAATCCACAGTATAAAATTATGCAGACATAGTAGACATGGGGTAATTTATAACAGTGTGCGAAGGGTGAGGGGACCTCAAGGTGCCAAAAAGGCTGGTCCCAGGCTTGCCAGGAGGAACCGTCAACAGGACACACACTCATAAAGCTTTTATGCACATACAATGTGTTTAAAGGCACATATGTGCTTTTGTGCATGTAATTACTGCACATACAATACATTAAAAGATAATAAAAGTTAATAAGATAATAACAAAACAACAAAAATAATAATACCGAATATTATGGCACAGCTGCAAACACCTCATAGCAACTAACAGTTGTCAATCCCTGACCACAAGAAATAAGTGCTGTTAGTTTCCCATTTAATATATGAGGAAACTGAGGCATCAAGAGGGAAAGTGCTGGTGAGACCTGGGTAGGGAGTTGAATCCAGTGGAGCCAGCAGACCCAGGAGCTGGCACCAGAGACTGAAATTCCAGCTGTATGGTGCCCTGGTGGTCTCCTGTCCCAACCAGGTGTTGATCTGGGCTTCGTAGGCTCATGTGCTCTGGAGAAAAGAGAGAAACAGTAAATGCTCCACTGGGTGCAGAGTGCTGCTTTTCATTCCCTGAGGATTTCTCCCTCCTCAGAAACTCCGAAATCAGATTCACCCTTTCTCTGAGGGAAGAACTGACGCCCCCACTTTTTCCTCCCTCCCATCCTAGTTTCTCCAGCCTCCACCAGTCTCCTCCTGTGATTCCCTCAACAATGATACCTGCCCTGTGCCCACCATCCACCATGTGGGGAATGAAAGGGCCTCATGACTAAAGGACAAGAATCAGATCCAGGAGGGAACCCGGGGCCCTCCCCTCCTCCCAAGCCCCACCAGCCTAGACACAGTGGGAAACCTCCCCAAAGAGAGGATGGTCCTAGCTCCGTGTCCTACCAGGCCTGGGCTGGGTCACGCACGCGGTCCTTCTCCCTCTCAGTCCCCAGGCCCTCCTCACCTACAGAGGCACTTGCACAACAGGGCAGACCCTGCACACTGGGCTCCCCGCTCCACCTGCAGCTCAGCGTTCCACCCTCCGAGCCCTGAGCAGCCAGCCCCTAACTGCAGAGCCCATCAAGAAGCCTGGGGGCTCGGCACAAAAACACGTGGCTGCCACCGGGTCTGCACCTGACTGGATCCTGGGACCCTCCACGCTTGAGGACACCCAACCTTTCCAGACCCTCAGCACCCACCCGGGTCCGTGACCTGCACTTGGGCCATCCTTGCTCCTGCCTGGTCCACTCACCCCTGGAAATGCACCTCCACCCCAGGGCTGCTGCTTGCTGAGGCTGCAAGACCTTCCTGCCCTGTTCCTAGCAGGGCTTCCACCCAGGCCACTGCCCTCACAGCCCACAGGGAATCTTCTTCTTCTCCCTGTGGAGCAGGGGGTTTCTGGAGACCCCTCAGCCTGAGGCTGCCTCCACCCACCCTCTGCACTCCAGGATTGCCACTGCCACAACCACCATCTCCAACATGGACCCTCCTGGAGAGGAAGCTCCAAGCTTGACTTCTCATTTGATTGTACATGCTTTACAACATCAATATTAGAGGAAATCCTATTAAGATTATCCAGCGGAAATTGTGAACATCTTTATTGGACATCAATATTTAAAGGAGAATTTTTGAGAAATTAGCACATGACTTTCACACCCTTTCCCTGGCCAATGCCCCGTGACCTACAAGGCAAACTTTCCTGCCCACGGGGACCCAGAAGTGACAACCCCTCTATAGGAGACAGTGCAGGTGAAAGCAGGAGCGACCACAAACCTGCACTGCCCCTGCTGTGGGTGCCTCCTGGACGGGGCCCTCTTGCTGCAGGGCAGGGGATGAACCTTCCCATCTGCCCAGGACTGAGGGGCCAACAGACAGTGCAATTAGGTTCAAGGATGAAAAACCCCCACCCCCACCACCAGGTGCAAAAAAGTGGGGAAATGGCAGAAAGACTCCAGTTTCCTGGACACCCAGCCTCTCACTGTCCCCTGCACTGCCTCTGTCTTTGCAGAAACACAAAACTTCCTGTTTTCTCTTTTACTTTCCCCTCAAACAACTGACTGTGGGGGAAATCATCCTGACCATCCTTTACTCCAAATTTACAGGAAAGTGACCACCTTGAGAAAGGCTCAGGGAGGGCAAGGTGAGGCCACAGAGCACAGAACAAAGCCCAAAAAACATGGTCCCTGAGCACTGTGTCCCTGAGGGACTGTGTCCTTCAGGGCCTGGACAAGGAAACACCTAGAAGTAGGATGAAAACAGGGATGACAGCTGCCCTGACAAGGGGCTGGTCACCACTCCCCAAATGGCCCAGAGACATCTGCGTATCTTCTCATCCATATTATCTGCAAGGGAACTCAGGGTGCAGGGCCATGTGGTGGGAACCTGGAAAGAGCATGGCCTCGAGTGATCCAGGAGACACGACACCCCCGAGACAGCTCCTGGAGGAGGCGCGTGGGGAGCTACAAAGTGGACAAAGATGGCTGTGTGCACTCAGAACCCTCCCTGTTACAAGGGGGTCTCCAAGGGGCTGCACAGGCAGGCCCCCCAGTCTGGGCCTCATAGGTCTTTTTCTTGGTGTCCTCCTGATGGCTGGAGAAACAGGGGAGGGGGATGCAGAGAGGAAGGGACTAGAGGCACCACCTCTCCTCATATTCCTCTCCAGTTTCTAGCCCTCCCCAGATCACAGCCGTCTTTACTATTTGCCCCCTCTGAAGCCATCATCATCCAGGCCCTCAGCAATCAGCACATGATTCCCAGCTCACCCCACGCTGATGCACGCTGGTGAGCCTGAGAGACAGAGGGATGGGGATGAGGACAGAGCAGGTGCCACGGCCCTCCTTGCTGCCCACTCCTCACCTGCAGCAAGAGGAGGCCACAGATGGACATTCGAGGGCTTTGGCCTGGCCCTGGCTTGGGCAGGACTTAGGGGTCTAGATGAAATTGTAGCTCCTATTCCCCTCCCAAATACCCCAACTTCCAAACCCTGTTCCAAAGCCCTGTCACCTACATGCCTGTCTGTGCAGGAGCTATGAGGGGACCCTACTGCCCAGACAGGGTCCCTCCCATCTCCAGCCACTGCCCCCTTTTTTCACCTGGGTCCTCTGCAGCTGATATTTTCTTCTTGCACCAAAGGACACAGAGAATAATAATAATGATAACAAAAACAGCAGCAGCCGCAACATACGGAACGGTTGCCATAGACTCTGAAGCATCAGGGCTTTCCCTGAAAAAAAGGGCCTTGTTGCACACTGGGCACTCAGAGTTCCAGTTATCTCTGCTGTGCCCACCTTGGCCTGACCCTTTCTAGGTCAGAACACTTGAGGGTCGCCCCAGGCTCACCAGAGGACACCAGGGTAAGTGCTGTGATTCCTGCTGTGTCCCACATAGCAGGTAGCCCTCTGCTCCTCTTCTTGGGGAATCTTAGTGGCCACCCAGGTCTGGTAGGTCCCATTCCCATTGGGCAGGACACCCACAGACCGATGGGCATCCTGGCTCAGAAAATGCCCCAACCTGACACCAGGCCAGAGAGATATTCTGGGGATAGAAGCCGGAAGCCCAGCATGTGGGGGTGACTTTGTTCTCTGAGGCCTGGCATTCACCATGGTAGGCACTGGATAGGAAAGGGCAGAGCCAGTGAGGCACATGGCCAAGCCCCGCTCCCTCTAAGGGAGACTCAGGGAACAGGGCTGCTCCTCTCCAGTGTTCTCACTCTGGCTGAAGCCCTCATGGACCCCGGATCTTTTGCAAGTCTGTCCTTACCCTGGGGCCCAATTCCTTTGGGCTGGCAGGAGGATGGGCCTCAGACTATGGCCTCAGGCTCTGAGATCCCCACATTGATGCTGAAGGGGAGGGATGTCAGGATTGGACTCCTGGGTCATGAGGCCAGGAGGGAACTCTCTGGGATGGGCAGGCTGGGAGGCAGAGGGGGCAGCCCTAGCCCTGAGGGCTTCCTCTCCTGCCTAACACCCACCCCAGGGTGAGGATTCTGTTGGGAGTGGGCCATTGCTTTCCCAGATTACAACACTGGATGGTTCAGTCCCCAACCCACTGTCTTTATCCAGTGGCTCTAACAAGAGAGGAAAGTCAGGACACAATACGCCAACAGGAAACGCCTGCATCCATAGCACAGAGAGGGTTTCCCAGGACAGAGCTGGCAGGGGAGTGACTCTAGTGAAATGGGGGAGAGGAAAGCCCCTGCCCAGGGTCGGTACCTGTTCTCCTGATGCCCTCCTAGGATTCGAGATGTTACTGTAGTTTCTGCAGACGGTCTGCCATCACAGGGTGAAAGTGTCTTGGCCTGTGTGGCATCTTCATCCCAGAAATTTCTGATATTCATAGCTAAGGTCTGAGCTCTGGAGGACTGGGGCACTGTCCATTCCTGAGTCTCCAGGTTTTGGGAGAGGAAGAGCTCCCCATCATAGTAGAAATGCCGGGAGCCTCTGGTGCTGCTGTCTTCATGGATCTCACAGACCCTAATCTCCTGGAGGGAATGCAAGCCTGCCCCCACCCAGCAGTTCATTCCTGAACCCCTCATCTTCCCACCCAAGTGAGGAACTCAGCCCAGCTGGGACCCCTCCCTGGCCCTCCTCCATGTCTCCCTGTGTGGGCTGAGTGCCGGCTCACCTCCCTGCTGAGCCCCACTGACCCCTATTTCTCAGCCCACCCTCAGCCAGATCCAGTGGGAAGAGACAGGTCCCTGCTCTCTGCCTCCAACTCTCCTGGAGAAGGCCTCTGCCATTACTCTTGCCCCTGCCGACTCTCACCTCCTTTCTGGCCCTTGATATGAGTCAGGGTCCTCCTGAGGTCCTGCCCATTCTCTGTCAAGTCCTCGGTCTCTGTGTCCCAGGTCTCAGCTCCCAGGACTGCTTCTGCCAACTGTCCACAGGGCCCCTGCCCTGCCTTTCTGTCTGTCATAGAGCAGGAACGGCTGACCATCCAGATGTCCCTCAGCGAGAAACCCTGACTATACAAATCCATCCTGGGACAGCACCGTGAGGTTGTAATGAAGACTGTGGGACCTGGGGAAGAAGAAACCACAGATGAAACTTCTTCCTGGAAATAACTTCACATAGATATTTAACACACAGATCTGCTGCCCCGACCTTCCTGAGGAAGCAGAAGTGGCTAAGTGTTGACAGTTTTGTAGTAATTTACAAGTTGATATGGTTTGGCTGTGTCCCCACCCAAATCACATCTTCAGTTGTAACTCCCACAATTCCCACCTGTCATGGGAGGAACCTAGTGGGAGGTGATTGAATTTTTGGATGGGTCTTTCCTGCACTGTTCTTGTGATAGCGAATGAGTCTCATGAGATCTAATGGTTTTAAAAAAATGGGAGTTTTCCTGCACGAGCTCTCTCTTCTTGCCTGCTGCCATCCACACAAGATGTGACTTGCTCCTCCTTGCCTTCCACCGTGATTGTGAGGCCTCCCCAGCCATGTGGAACCATTAAGTCCGTTAAACCTCTTTCTTTTGTAAATTGCCCAGTCTCAGGTATGTCTTTACCAGCAGTGTGAAAACATACTAATACACAAGTGAAACACATTATACATTTTAATCCATTAAAGACTAGTTAGCAGCACTCACCACAAGCTGATATAAGAGCCTGTGAGCCTTAAGGGAACATTCACTGGTAATGGTCTGCAAACAGGGGTAGTCTGACTTCCCCTATGCCCTTATTTCTTTCTCTTGCCTTATTGCTGTGGCCAGGACTTCCAATACTCTGTTGAATAGGAGTGGTGAGAGAAGGCATCTTTGTCTTGTGCTGGGTTTCAAGGGGAATGCTTCCCCCATTTGGTATGATGTTGGCTGTTTGTTTGTCATAGATGGCTCTTATTATTTTGAGGTATGTTCCTGCAATACCTAGTTTATTGAGCGTTTTTAACATAAAGGAATGTTGAATTTTATCAAAAGGTTTTTCTGGATCTATTAAGATAATCATGTGGTTTCTGTCTTTAGTTCTATGTATGTGATGAATCACATTTATTGATTTGCACGTGTTGAACCAATCTTGCATCCTGGATATGAAGCCTACTTGATCATTGAGATTAGCTTTTTGATGGACTGCTGGATTTGGTTTGCAAGTACCTTGTTGAGGATTATTACATCAATGTTCATCAAACATATTGACCTGAAGTTTTCTTTTTTTGTTTTGTCTCTGCCAGGTTTTGGTATCAGGATGATGCTGGCCTCATAGAATGAGTTGGGGAGGAGTTCCTCCTTTACAATTTTTTGGAATAGTTTCAGTAGGAATGGTACCAGCTCTTCTTCGTCCATCTGGTAGAATTCAGCTGTGAATCCATCAGGTTCAGGGCTTTTTTTGGTTAGTAGGCTATTTATTACAGATTTAATTTTGGAGCTCATTATTGGTCCTTTCAAGGAATCAATTTCTTCCTGGGAGGGTGTATGTTTCCAAGAATTTATCGATCTCTTGTAGGTTTTCTAGTTTGTGTGCATACAGGTGTTCATAGTAGCTTTTGATGGTTATTTTTACTTCTGCAGAGTCAGTGGTAACATCTGTTTTGTCATTTCTAATTATGCTTATTGGGATCGCCTCTCTTTTCTTCCTTATTAGTCTAGCTATCAGCCTATCTATCCTATTAACTTTTTCAAAAATCATCTCCTGAATTTGTTGATCTATTGAATTTTTTTGTGTCTTGATTTCCTTCAGAACTTAACTCATTCTTAACATTTCACAGCCCACTTTCAGTTAATAATGTACTAGTTCACATAAATATAGAAATCTTGCAACCATTTATCCTCTATAAAACGTCCATCTTTTATGCCATAGATATTATATGTAATATATTTACATAGGTTATAAGCCCCATCAGAAAGCTATCTTATTTTACCTTTAAACAGTTCTATGTATATGAAGTAAGATTAAATGGGGGTGGGGGAGCAAGATAGCCTTTCGCACTTAATATTTACCACTTCTCACATTCTTCATCTTTTCTGATAATCTCATTTTCCACCTGGTATCATTTGCTTTTAGCCTGAGACACTTTCTTTACCAATTTTTATCGTACAGATCTGCTGGTGACAAATTCTCTTAATTATCTTTTACCTGAAATATCTCCTTATTTTGCATTTATCTTGAAGGACATCTGTACTGGATATAGAATTCTTAGTTGACCTTTTATTTCTTCCAGAACTTTAAAGATGTTATTCTAGTTTATTTTGTTTCTCTGGTTTCTGATGAGAAATCATTGGTCAGGAAAAGAGAAACAGAGAAAGAAAAACTGAGCAAATAACATGACAAACCTAAAACCTATCATATCAATAATGACAAAAACCTACATAAATCAGCACTCCAATTAAGGGCAGAGATTCTGTGACTGGATTAAAAAAAATAACCCAACCATATGCTCTTTTCAAGACATGAACTTTATTTTTTTTAATTTAACTTTTATTTTTAGTTCAGGGTACATGTGCAGGTTTTTGTATAGGTAAATTTGTATCATGAGAGTTTGTCATATGTAGGCTCCAGCCCTACAGGACCTGTGGGTTTTTCTCTTTGTGTGTGGAGATGAGAGAGTGTAGAAATAAAGACACAAGACAAAGAGAAGAAAAGAGAGTTGGGCCCAGGGGACCACTACCACCAAGGCACGGAGACTGATAGTGGCCTCGAATGCCAGGCTGCGCTGTTATTTATTGGATACAAGACAAGGGGGCAGGGTAAGGAGTGTGAGCCATCTCCAATGATAGGTAAGGTCACGTGAGTCACGTGTCCACCAGACAGGGGGCCCTTCCCTGTTCGGTAGCCGAGGCGGAGAGAGAGAGGGGACAGTTTATGTCATTATTTCTTCTATGTATTTCAAAGACTTTAGTACTTTCACTAATTTTTGCTACTGCTATTTAGAAGGCTGAGCCAGGTGTAGAGGGTGGAACATGAGAGTCAAACAGGAGCGTGACCACTGAAGCACAGCATCACAGGGAGACGTTTAGTCCTCCAGATGGCTGTGGGCGGGCTTGACTGATGTCGGGCCTTCCACAAGAGGTGGTGGAGCAGAGGCTTCTCTAACTCCCCCGGGCAAAGGGAGACTCCCTTTCCCGATCTGCTGAGTGATGGGTGCCTTCTCAGGCACTGGCGTTACCGCCAGACCAAGGAGCCCTCTAGTGGCCCTGTCCAGGCATGACAGAGGGCTCACACTCTTGTCTTCTGTTCACTTCTCACCGTGTCCCTTCAGCTCCTATCTCTGTATGGCCTGGTTTTTTCTAGGTTATAATTGTAGAACAAAGATTATTATAATATTGGAATAAAGAGTAATGTCATAAACTAATGATTAGTAATATTTATACATAACCATATCTATATTTTATGTCTAATACAACTATTTTTATTTTAAGTATTTTCTTTATTATACTGGAAGAGCTTGTGCCTTCAGTCTCTTGCCTCGGCACCTGGGTGGCTTGCTGCCCACAGTCATATAGTTTCTGTACCTATTAGTACCCACCCAGGTATTAAGCCTAGCACCCATTCATTATTTTTCTTGATCCTCTCCCTCCTTCCACCCGTTGCCTTCAAGTAGGCCCCGGTGTGTGTTGTTCCCTTCTATATGTCCATATGTTCTCATCATTTAGCTCCCACTCATAAGTGAGAACATGTGGCAATTGGTTTTCTTTTTCTGCATTAGTTAGCAAAGGATAATGGCCTCTAGCTCCATCCATGTTCCTGCAAAGTACATGATCTCGTTCTTTTTTATGGCTGCATAATGTTCCATGGTGCATATGTGCCACATTTTCTTTATCCAGTTCACCATTGATGGGCATTTAGGTTGATTCCATGTCTTTTCTATTGTGACAAGTGCTGCAATGAACATACATCTGCATGCAAAACATGCAATTTCAATATGAAGGCACAGATAAATAAAAATTGATGAAAAAAGCAATGCCATACAAACATTAAGCACAGAGGATTGAAATGGTTATTTTACTACCAGTAAAAGATTTTCAAATAATATGTATTACCAGAGAGAAAAAGAGGCGCTTCATAATAACAAAAGGGTAAAATCAACAGAAAGACATGCAACCAGAAATGGATCCAATAGCAAATCTTTAGAGTTCATGAAGAAAAATTGACAAAATTACAGAGAGAAGTAGAGAATTCTACAAACATGGTTAGACATTTTAAAGCTTTCTTTCAGCTATAAATACAAAAACTAAGAAAAATTTAGCAAAGACATAGAAAATTGAAAAGCATTATCAAGCACCCAGACTTAATTTATTTATATGCATATGCACATCAATGAAAAACACAAATTATCTGAAGTATGAATGATACATTTACCAGGAGAAACCATATTTCAGGCCATAAAACAATAAATTTGAAAACATTGAAATCATACAGAATATATTTTCTGGCCATAATGGAAATACATTAGAAATCTGTAACAATAAGATGATCTTGTGGGACTGAATGCTTTTGTCATCCTTAAACTCATAATTGAAACCTAATCTCTAATGTGATGGTGTTTGGAGGTTGTGCCATTAGAAAGTGATCATGCAGTGAAGGCAAAACCCTCATTAATAAAATGAATGCCCTTATAAAAGGGACCCCAGATTGCTTGCTCCTTCCACCACGTGGGGACACCAAGAAAAGGCAACATCCATGAATCAGGAAGCAGCCCTCACCATACACTGACTCTTCCCAGGCCTTGATCTTTGACTTCCCAGCCTCCGGAACTGTGAGAAATAGATTTCTGTTGTATGCAAGCCACATAGACTATGGAATTCTTTTATAACTGCCCAGATTGACTAAGACGGACGATCATGAAAATACCAAGGATTGGAAATTAAACATCAAAATTCTGAATAACAACTTATTCAAAGAGGAAATCACAGGAGAAATTAGAAAGTCTTCTGTTTTCTGAAGAATACTGAAGCACAACATATCAAATGTATGGGATGCAGTTGAAGTAGTGTTAGATATAAAAAGAGTTCCTCTTTAAGGGTTAACTTGCTCAGCATCCTGGCTCTTTGTTCCCTGCTTTCAAGGCCAGACTTCCTTACGCTCTGTATCCCCTGCCCTGGTAAACAAATTTCCCGCCAGTCCTTATCTATGGAGACCACATCCCACATCTGCTACCCACTCTATAGATTAACCCTCCTGTTGCAACAGCTCCTCCCGCCAAGACTGCACTCTCTGTTGGTATAACCACATTCCTGCACTTTTCAAGTTAGCCAGCCAGGTTCAGCTTAGATTGTGCAGTCCAGCTCCAGCCAATGGAGACAAGACACAGTTACAGGGACAAGCTGCATTAAGAGATTATAAAAAACCCCTGCTCTCCTTTGTTCAGGTGTGCACTCGCCATCGTTCCATCATAAGTAGCATCCTTTCTGCAGAAGTCAATTGCCTTGCTGAGAGATCCTTTGTCTCAGTGCTGATCTTTCTTTACAACACTGAGCATTTGTTCCCAACAAGCAGTACTGAAGAAAAAACTGATATCCTTAAATGCCTATATTAAGAAAGAAGGTAGGTCTCAAATTAGTAAATTAGTTTCTCCTGTAAGAAGCAAAGAAGAACAAATTAAACCAATGCATGCAGAAGGAAGGAAATAATAATAAAATAAAAAACTGAAGCAGAAAGAGAAAATTAATGAATCCAAATATTGGTTCTATAGGGAAAAATCGTACACCTTATAAATTTCTAGCCAGACTGATCAAGACAAAAACATACACATTAACAAGGTCAGCAATAAAAGAGAGAACATCAGTACACACTCTAGATCTCAAAAAGAAATATTGATAATCTCATGTCAATAAGTTTGACAAGCAAATGAAATGAACAATTTCCTTGAGAGGGAAAACTTATGAAAACTGACCTGAGAAGAGATAGAAAATGTGGTCAGCCATATATTGATTGTAGAAATTGAATTTGTAATCAAAATCCTTCTAATATAGGAAAGTCTAGGTCCAGAAGGCTTCACTGATGAATTGTATCAAACATATAATTTAGAAATTACATCAATTTTACACATACCTTTTAGAAATTAAAGTAGGCAGTTTTTTTCAATTCAGTCTACGAAGCCAGCTATATTAGTCCGTTTTCACACTGCTGATAAACACATACTCAAGACTGGGAAGAAAAAGAAGTTTAATTGGACTTACAATTCCACATGGCTCGATGGTCTCAGAATCATGGCAGGAGGTGAATTTTTTTTTTACGTAGCAGTGGCAAGAGAAAATGAGTAAGATACAAAAGCGGAAACCCCTGATAAAATCGTCAGGTCTTGTGAGCCTTATTCAATACCACAAGAACAGTATGGGGGAAACTGCCTCCATGATTCATATTATCTCCCACTGGGTCCCTCCTACAACATGTAAGAATTATGGGAGTATAATTCAAGATGAGATTTGGGTGGGGACACAGAGCCAAACCATATCATTCCACCCCTGGCCCCTCCAAATCTCATGTCCTCACATTTCAAAACCAATCATGCCTTCCCAACAATCCCCCAAAGTCTTTCCTCATTTCAGCATTAACCCAGAAATCCACAGTCCAAAGTCTCATCTGAGACAAGGCAAGTCCCTCCCACCTATTAACCTGTAAAATCAAAACCAAGCTAGTTACTTACGAGATACAATGGGGGTACAGGTATTGGGTAAATACAGCCATTCCAAATGGGAGAAATTGGCCAAAACAAAGGAGTTACAGGGCCCATGCAAGTCCTAAATCCAGTGGGGCAGTCAAATTCTAAAGCCCCAAGATGATCTCCTTTGACTCCATGTCTCACATCCAGGTCATGCTGATGCAAGAGGTAGGTCCCCATATCTTGGGCAGCTCTGCCCCTGTGGCTTTGCAGGGTATATGTTCCCTCCTGGCTGCTTTCACAGTCTGGCGCTGAGTGTCTGTGACTTTTCCAGATGCACAGTGCAAACTGTTGGTGGATCTACCATTTTGGGGTCTGGAACACGGTGGCCCTCTTCTTACAGCTCCACTAGGCAGTGCCCCAGTAGGGACTCTGTGTGGGGGCTCCAGCCCCACGTTTCCCTTCCACATTGCCCTAGCAGAGGTTCTCCATGAGGGCCCTGCCCCTGCAGCAAACTTTTGCCTGGGCATCCTAGCATTTCCATACATCTTCTGAAATCTAGGTGGAGGTTCCCAAACCTCCATTCTTGACTTCTGTGCACCTGCAGGCTCAAAACCACATGGAAGCTGTCAAGGCTTAAAGCTTGCACCCTCTGGAGCCATAGACCAAGCTGTACCTTGGCCCCTTTTAGCAACAGTGGGAGCATCTGGGATGCAGGGCACCAAGTCCCTAGGCTGTACATAGCATGGGGACCCTGGGCCCTGCCCATGAAACCATTTTTTCCTCCTATGCTTCTGGGTCTGTGATGAGAGGGGCTGCCATGAAGACCTATGGCATGCCCTGGAGACATTTTCCCCCTTGTCTTGGGGATCAACACTTGGCTTGTTGTTACTTATGCAAATTTCTGCAGCCAGCTTGAGTTTCTCCTCAAAAAATGGGTTTTTCTTTTCTACTGCATTGTCAGGCTGTAAATTTTCTGAACTTTTATGCTCTGTTTCCCTTTGAAAATGGAATGCTTTTAGGAGCACCCAAGTCACTCTTTGAATGCTTTGCTGCTTAGAAATTTTATCTGCCAGATACCCTACATCATTTTAAGGAAAGGCTAGCATGGGGAAGAAGAAGAGAGACGAGAAGAAAAGAGCTCCCTGCTTCTAGTGAGCAAAGGCCGCCGCCCGAGCTTCTTAGCCCTTCATATTTACTGGGTAATAAGGGCAAGGAGGAGGAGGTAATGATTGGTCAGCTGCTTAATTGATCACAGGTTCATATTGTTACTGGCAGGCTTCAATTGTGGCAAATCATAAGAAACATTCGTGCGGCCTCCAACATCTACTCCTTTTTGTTTTAAAATTAATTGAGCAAGGTAATTGCAGGCTGTGCAGCTCTTAATTGCCGGTTGGTGATCCAGCTTCATTTTTCTTAGCCCTTATTCAAAATAGAGTTGCTGTGGTTTGAATGCTTCTTACATATCTCCCCCTTCCCTTTTTACAAGAGGATGCTTAATCCTAAGGGTTGCAGAAGGATGAAGGTCTGTCTTCTGCAACTTCTTCATGCAGAATAAGGGCGATGGTATTCCTGCCTAACTATTAGGGTCTCTTGTATTCAGGGTAGAGAGGAGCTGAGTCAGAAAGCACTGGTCCGTTAAACATCGATTGTACTTCTGAGTTCCAGCAAAAGGTGACACCCTGGCACTCCAGCAGTTTCTCAGCTTCCTGTGTGGTTTTCTTGATCAGTCCCCATGTTATGGGGGTTGATGTCAGCATGACTCTGGTCAGTCGTCGTTCCATCTTCGCATTCAGATTCAACTGGCTCATGGATTGTACTGGGGGAACCAGGTCCAGGGTTGGGATCCATGGGTCCCTCCAGTCTCCCATTCCAAGATGCACCTTGGAAAAAGAGACAAAAATCACTAGCATCTGTGGCCCACGCTTTTTCCTAAAAGGGTTTTGAGGACTTCAGTACTTACAGGGGAAAGAGCAGGCAGAAGGGGAAAAACAGTCAACTATGCATTCATCTTGTGCTCAGTAAATCTGAATTTTACATAAGCTAAAGTAAACATAGAGTAGTAAAATATGTGTTTGTCTCCGGGTGGGTGAAGGGATGATTTCTAGTCTTGTCTTTGTCCTGTACCTGTGAAGATAAGCTGTTACTTTACATTGTCAGGGGAAAAGTCAACAAAACTCTGTTTTAGGGTAAAGATGTTGGGGCCCACAAGGAATTACATTGTGAGCAGATTGTGAGGGAGGCCACTTGGGGAGATATGTGGTCCTCTATCTTTGCAGGTATTTGTTTAGGAACAAAAGAAAGGCAGTTTTTCCATGACTCAGTTCCCAAACTTAACTTTTCCCTTTGGCACTGTGAGTTTGGGGTCCCAAGATTTTATCTTTCTTTCACACTCAGTATTGCAGTTTATTATTGTCATAGCTTAAATCAGCGGTAATCATAGCTTACCTCAACATATTTGGCACCAAGTACTGGTTTCATGGAATAAAACTTTTCCACTGACCAGGGCAGGCGGCACAGGTAGGCGGGGATGGGTTTCGGGATGAAACTGTTCCACCTCAGATGATCAGGCACTGGAGTCTTATAAAGGAGCGTGCAGCCTAAATCCCTCGCATGCACAGTTTACAATAGGGTTCGTGCTCCCATGAGAATCTAATGCCACCACTGATCTGACCAGAGGCGGAGCTCAGGCGGTCATGCTCATGCTTTCTCGCCCACCCTTCACCTCCTGCTGTGCGGTCTGGTTCCCAACAGGCCACAAACCTGTACCGGTCCACTGCAGGGGAGTTAGGGACCCCTGGTTTAAATTATGCCACTATAACAGAACACCTGAGACTGGATAACTTACAATGAACACAAATTTAATTGGCTCATGGTTGTCGAGGATGGGAATTCCAAAATCAAGGGAATGTATCTGGCAGAAGGGAGAAGCGCAAGAGAGGGTGAGAGCTAGAGGGAGTAAGAGGTCGAACTCACAGGCTCAGGTCCTTTATGATCAGCATTAATGAGGGCAGCCTTGATCAGTTCATTAATGAAGGCAGAGCTCTGATGGTCCAATCACCTCTCAAAGGTCCCATCTCTTAACATTGTTGCACTGGGGATTAAGTTTCCAACAGACGCTTTTCTGGGGAAACATTCAAACAATAGCAGTTGTAAAGGATACAAATGAGCAGGCAGATGAAGTGCAGGAGGCGACATCTGGAAGCACTCTGAGCACACGACCCTCTGTCCCCATGGAGACGGGGTGCACCATCATTGTCAAGAGACAATATCATCTCTTGCTTATACCTCTTTTTTTTGGGAGTTCATGTAACATTGGATTTTCCTCATTACACAACCCATTTATTCATTCATTTACCCTCAGCTACTATTCCTCCTTCTACTTCATTTATACCAAACATTAACAGTTTTGGAAGAAACATTAAGTTCTGCTACTGTGCTGGCCTAGACTGAAGGGAGCAATACTGTTCTAGCAAGTGTCTCTCGTTGGTCCATTCCAGTTCATAGAGGGTAGGGTTATGCAGGTAGAGAACTAGTTGGCTATCTGACCCCAGGCAATATAGCTGCATTCAGTGTTAGCCCCAACTTTGCCAGATGCAGTGAAGGCACAACCTACTCCTCCAGGCCCTGAGGAATTCTTGCATAATGGTTTTAAAATATATTTACACTTTCTTGCTTAGGAATAATTCCTGTTTTGGCACTTTTATATGCATCCCTTGTCCTAAGACCACTGAATCAGGTATGAGAAAGGCGAGTTGAGGTGAAGTCTAGTCATCATTCCAGTGTCCTCTTGTCATGGGAAAAATCGTATGTCAGGTCATACTAGCACCTTTCCCTGATCCAGCAGGAAAAAAGAGGATACTCTCTAGTGGGGACACTCCTTTTTCCACACTCATGTCTGGTGTGAGCCCACTCATGAACGTGTGTAAGCCCGCCCTTCATGCTTATGTCTCCCCACTCCTGCTTTATACAAGTAATGTGTCATTTGACTATTTTTATTCTCTATGAAACTATTCCTCTGAGCAAAATATTTTTCTGAACATTGTTGGACATTTTGGGCAAATGTGTTTCCTGGTGTGAAGAAATGTGACTCAGTGATGCAAATGGTTGCAATATCTCCCGTCCAGGTTCTATTATAGTGCTCTAAGCATTTGCATCTGAGATGAAGTACGGATTTATCTTAGAAGCCTGCTAGACCTCCCTAACATGGAAATAAAGGAAAATGTTGAGTTCCTTCAAGAGAAATTCCAGGCACCTAGCCAGCCCTGAAAAGCAAGTGAGTGACCTTATAAGCAAGCAGGTAAAAATAGCTTAAACAATAGCCAAGGAAGTTAGAGTCCCAAGATGTTTGATTCTCTATAGAAACTAAAGAGAACATCTTAACATATGTCCTTGAGTAGTTTTTCAGGAACCCAGACTCTCACCAAACAGAGCCACTGATAGGGAGACCTCAGATAAGGGGAAAATGAGGACTCAATGCTGACTGTGACTCTTTGTTCTAAATTTTTTCCTGAGGGGCCTGGAAAGAGTCAGGTCCACAGAGCAGACCTGAACATTCCTCCCTACTGCCCCTAAGTGTGTAGACAAAGCTTTGGCTCCTTATCCAATCACAAATCAGAGAATCTTTCAATCCACCTATGACCTGTACGATCCCTCATCAGGATATCCCACCTTTTTAGGCCAAACCAGTGTGTAATTTCTATGCATTGATTTTTGATGTTGCCTGCAACTCGGCTTTGCTGAAATTTACTCCTGCCTTAAAAACTCTTGCTTGTAAGCCATTGGGGAGGTTAGGTCTTAAGTGTGAGCTGCCCGATTCTCCTTGCTTGGTGCCTTGCAAATAAACGCCTTCCTTTCTCCCACTACAAAATCTCAGTGTGGATGTTTGCCTTTATTGCACCAGGTGAGTGGGCCCCAGTTCAGTTTGATAACACATCTACCACCAGCTAAGCAATGCTTACTCCAGGGTCAGTATCTATTCCTGCCAAGACCCATTTGCTGCCTCCTAGGGGTACTGGTATCAGTCTAATTTGCCAGCTATCTATTTTCAAGACCTTCCCATGAGAGAATTTGCTACATAGCCATATGCTGTCTCTGTCTCTTCTTAAACAGAACAGTCCTTATGGGTATTTCGTGCCTGTGAGTTGGAGGATGTAAAAGGAATATATCTTGATTCAGCCTATCTCTGCATTGCTGCAGCCCTCAGTGTCTACTTATTTCACGGACCCAGGTGATCACCACAAGCAAACGTGGATTTTTTTGAGATGTGGTATTGATATTTTTCCCTGGACTCAAAAGTTGCTCAGGCAAAACTAAGACTCCTGGGCTCAAGAGATCCTTCTGCCTCAGTTCTTCTTGTAGCTGGAAATACAGGTACACCTGGAAATCACTTAGAAATAAATGCTTGTTGATTTCAATCACCTTCCAAACCTGGAGGAGGGTTATTCTGAGGGGCATTGAACTAATTGAACTATTCTGAGGGAATGGTACTAAACGATTCATGAGAAGCCACCCCCATGATGCAATCACCTCCCTTGAGGCCTCACCTCCAACACTGGGGATTATATCTCAACATGAGATTTGGGTGGGGACAACACCCAATTTATATCAGACATCAACACGCCTTACATTAATGCACCCCTCAAATTACCATAGTGATTTCCACAGGACTGTGTCCTATACGGGTATTCTTTTCATAGGCCAGTTTTCCATTGCTCTCTTAATTATATGGCCAGGCCATCAGTCAATGCCCATAAGTCAGTAAAAACTAAGACATAGGGACTTTTGTCATTGTTCAATTCTTTCATCACTTCTCAGAAAACATCATGCAATTCAACCAAAAAAAAAAAAAAAAACTGTCCTGTTTTTAACTTCTTTGATCAAAGGGGTAGACTTCCAAACAGGATGTTGTCCACTCATCTTGCAAATGCTGTACACAAACCAACCAGCTCTTTGTGGGTCAGTTGACTGATATTGCAGTTCAAATCCCAGGATGTCTGCTGCAGAGTTCCATCTTGTTTAGGGAGGGTCACATTATAAAGGTCAAACTACTTTACTCAAAGCCTAGCAATTATCAGGTTCAAGCGATTCTCCTGCCTTAGTCTCTTGAGTAGCTGGGATTACAGGCACCTGTCATCACGCCCAGCTAATTTTTTTGTATTTTTAGTAGAGATGAGGTTTCACCATGTTGGCCAGGCTGGTCTTGAACTCCTGACCTCAGGTGATCTGCCCATCTCGGCCTCCCAAAGTGCTGGGATTACAGGCATGAGCCACCGCGCCTGGCCACTCTTCATTATATAAAATATAAGACAGTCTGTCCTCCATGTCTGTGTGTTCCACATCTGTGAATTCAACTACCTGAGGATTGGAAATGTTATGTTGCTGCTGTTGTGTACTCTGTAGTTAGGCCTACTGACAGTGGTTACATCTGTACTGAAGATGTACAGACATTTTCTTGTCGTTATTTCCTAAACAATATAGTATAACTACTGTTTACAATCATGTACATTGCACTAGGTATTGTAAGTAATCTAGAGATGATTTAAAGTATATGGGATGATATGCATAGGTAGTAGGCATATAGTAGGCCATTTTATACATGGGACCAGAGAATCCACAGATTTTGGTATCCACAGGGGTCCTAGAACCCAGCCCAAAAGGATACCAAGGGATGACTATATAGGACTGACATTCCTTTTTTAAGTTTTTGAAAGAATTGATGGGAGGAAATGTGGTAAGAAGTTTTTCTGGTGGGAAGGAATTTAATTAAAATTCAATTTCTTAATGGATAGAGGACTATTTATATTTTCTACTTAGTTTTCTGTTGGCTTTGTTCAACTGTGTTTTTCAAGAACTCATTTCATTGCACCTAAATTTTAAAAGGTATTGTCATGAAGTTGTGTCTAATATTCTCTTATTTTCATTTTAATAAAATCTGTGGTTTTATAAGTTGTCCCTTCTCACAGTGTTCATTCGTGTTTTCTCTCTTTGTATGATTGATCTTTCTGGGGATTATGAAATAGTTTGCCCATGATTTCCTCTATTATCCTTAACATATTAATCATAAATATATTGAAGAATGTCCTTGCTCGCTGGCTTCAGTATCCAGATCATCTGAGTCGGCTTCTGTTGATTATTTTATCTCCACTTGTTGCATTTTTTCTGCTGCTTGGCATGCCACATATTCTGGGTGATGTGTTACAGAGGTTCTGGATTTTGCTATCTTCCTGCTAAGACTGCTAACTGCTTGACGGTTCATTAATTATCATAAAAATCAGACCCACTTTGATTCTGCTTAGGCTTGATTTTAGCCTTTGTTAACATGAGTCTAGTTCAGTGCGGTCCTTACTCCAAGGCAAGGGTCCTCACTCATAGTGCTTCACCACCCTGTTGGCTCAACCCAGGTTTGGCTGGGCTAAAATTCCAACATCTCCTCATACTCTGAAGCCTTTGGCATTTCTACTTAGCATGCAATCTCCAAGCAACTGTTCTCTGGTGGGCTTCTTAGAGTATCACCTAAAGCATATGCAGCTTAGGAGTGCAGATTTTGGGGGTTTCTTCTCTGTAGTGACATTGTAGGTGACACTGTACATCATAGTACAATGCATTAATGATATGTTTGTGGTGATGCTGGTGTAAACAAACCTACTGCACTGTCAATCCTATAAAAGTCTAGCACATACAGTTATGTACAATACATAATCCTTGATAATGATAATAAATGACTATGTTACTGGTTTACATATTTACTATACTTTTTATTGTTATTTTAGAGTGTGCTCCTTCTAATTATTAAAAAAACTTGAAACAGCCTCGGCCAGGTCCTTTAGGAGGTATTCCAGAAGAAGGCATTGTTATCATAGGAGATGGCAGCTCCATGCATGTTATTACACCTGAAAATCTTCCAGTGGGACAAGATGTAAAGGCTAAAGATAGTGATATTGTTGATCCTAACCCTGTGTCAGCCTAGGCTAATTTATGTCTTTTTTTTTTAACAGAAAAGATTTAAAAGTAAAAAAAAAATTAAATAGAAATAAGTTTCTAGAATGAAAATATAAGGAACAATATTTTTGTACAGCTTTGTAACATGTTGGTCTTTTAAGCTAAGTGCTATTACAAAAGCTGAAAAGTTTTAAAAATTAAAGTTTATAAAGTTAAAAAAGTTACATTAAGCTAAGGTTAATTTATTATTAAAGAAAGAAAATTATTTTTAAAATCAATTTAGTGTAACCTAAGTGTACAGCATTTATAAAATCTACAGTAGTGCACAGTAATGGCCTAGGCCTTCAGTTCACTCACCACTCACTTGCTGACTCACCCAGAGCAACTTCCAGTCCTGTAAGCTCCATTCATGATGAGTAACCTATATAGGTGTGCCATTGTAAAAATCTTTTTACCATATTTTTACTGTACTTTTTCTGTTTACATATGTTTAGATCCACAAATACCTACCATTGTGTTACAATTGCCTACAGTACTCAGTATAGTAATGTGCTATCCAAGTTTGTAGCCTAGGAGCAATAGGCTTTATGATATAGCGTAGGTGTGCAGTAGGCTATATCATCTAGCTTTGTGTATGGACACTTTATGATGTTCACGTAAGACCAAATCACCTAAGGACACATTTCTCAGAACCTATCTTATCATTAAGAAAGAATGACTATATATGTAATGTAAGTCCTTTGAAGTTTAAGCATTTTCACTTTCATATATTTGTCTCATTTAAGAAATATTTTCCATTCCAGCAGGTACAGCTAAAAAAAAAGAAAAAAGAAAAAAAGAAAAATTTTCTTGCTCAAATGTTTTAAGGTTATCCTCCTAATAACATTGGTAGTAGTTTTATTTTTTCATATTTGTCTTTACCGCTTATATAATTTTTTGTTTATCTCAAGGTGTAGAGATATAATTTAATCATAGGGTGTTTAGTAAAATATCAATGCTGGGAAAGGGCTTAGGAGATAACGATGAATCAAAACACAGCACAAAGGCCAGGTACTGTGGCTCACTCCTGTAATCCCAGCACTTTGGGAGGCCAAGGAGGGTGAACCACTTGAGCCCAGAGGTTCTAGACCAGCCTGGGAAACATACTGAGACCTCGTCTCTACAAACACATGTCAATCAATGCAGCATAATAGAGAATCTGGAAATAAATCCATATATTTACAGCCAACTGATTCTTGACAAAGGTGCCAAGAACATACATTTGGGGAAAGGACACCCTCTTCAATAAATGGTGCTGGGGAAATTGGATATCCACATGCAGAAGAATGGAATTAGATCCCTATATCTCACCCTATATAAATATCAACTCAAGATGGATTAAATACTTAGACGTAAGACCCAAAACTATAAAACAACTGGAAGCAAACATATGAGAAACATTCTAGGACATTGGTCTGGGTAACGATTTTATGGCTAAGACTTCAGAAGCACAGACAACCCAAACAAAATAGACAAATGGGACTATAATAAACTAAAACGCTTCTGCGCAGCAAAGAAAACCATCAAAAGAGTAGACAGACAACCTGTTGAATGGGAGAAAATATTTTCAAACAATTTATCTGACAAGGGACTAATATCCAGAATATGTAAGGAACTCAAGAGCTAAAAAAACCAAAAAATTCTATTAAAAAGTGGACAAACGACATGAATAGACATTTCTCAAAAGAAGACATACAAATGGCCAGCAGGTACATGAAAAATGCTCAACATCACTTATCATCAGGGAAATGCAAATCAAAACCACAATGAGATATCATCTTACCCCCAGATAGAATGGGTACAACTAAAAAGACAAAAAAAAACAAACAAACAAATAGATGTTTGTGAGGATGTGGAGAAAAGGGCACTCTTACACACAGTGTGTAAAACTAGTACAGCAACTGTAAAAAACAGTATACAGAGTTTTCAAAACACTGAAAATAGAATCACTGTATTATCAAGCAATTTTGGGGTGGGGCTGCAGGGTCCTGGAGTTCAGGTTGGCAGAGAGCAGGGCCTGGAGGTGCTTGGGAGGCCGGAGGAGAAGGAAAGAGGCAGATGCCTGGGTCCCAGGGTATCGAAGTGGGGAGGGTCTGGGGCAAGAGGTAAATGGGCGAATTCTTGAGATCCATTGAGAATCCATGGTCAGCCCTTGAGATCCAAAGAAAGGGGTCAGAAGCTTGGGCCAGGCTCACCGCTGAGCTCTTTGTAACCCCTTTGTAACCCATGACCACCTTCAGACTCCCAGCTAAGTAAGTCTTTGACCCTCCAAGAACAACATCTCCTTGGCTGCCAGCAGAGGGACCTGCTCTCTGCCCATGACCCCAGGGCCCCTGGGCCTGGCATGGCAGCTCCTGCTGTCAAAGGCAAAGAAGAGGCAGCCGTCCAGCTAGCCCAGTGCTATGACTGCAGGCTTCCTGGGGGTGGACTCTGATAGGGCCTTAAGATCCTAGCTCAGAAAGCGGGACCCTGAAATTCCCAGGGCTGGGCCCCTTAGCACCTGTATAGCAGCTCTCTTCTCCTCAGAACCCTAGAAACTCTCTCCCACTCTACACACACCTGCACGCACACACATCAACACAAACACACACATTCCTAACAGGATGTTTTCCATTTTTCTCTCCTCCCTGGCTCCTTTCACTCTCTTTCTCCCCCCTTGCCCCCTTCTCTTATGATCCATTTCTTCTCTCTTCTGCTCTCTGGAGGTTCCCTTCTTCCTGGACCGAGGCACTAGGAGCTGCTGTCCCTGGACCCCAGGGTTGGAGGCTAACAGGCTGATTCCTGGGATGAGCAGCCTCTAGCAGCAGGAACAAAGGAGGGGACGGGAGGCCAAGGCCCCATCTGGAGGCTGAGGGACTGGGTCCTGTGGCAGCAAGGATTTGGGGGTGTGTCATCCCCACATCTGATCCCACTGTTTTGCCCTGGAGGCCTCTCTCTGCTCTGAGGCAAAAGTCCAGTCACTCAGTGGTGAGAGGAAATGTCATTGTCAACATGGATTTTGGGAAGCTGAATGGACTCAGAGCCTGACTTGAGACCCGGAGGCTCCTTGAGTGCAGAGCCCTGTCCAGGTGCTGGGAGCAGAGGGAGAGCCTCGGAGGTCCTGGTTGGTGAGAAAGGGGAGCGGGGTCCGGTCCTCTGTCCTCGTCCCTGTGGCCACACGGGGGCGCCGCCGCGCTGCTCTCGCATTCTGATTGAGCGCTCTCAGGCACTGGGTGAGGGCTGAGTGGGGCAGAAGGGGCGGAGCCTGAGGTCATCCACGCGGGAATGCAGGTTCCTCCTAAGCAGCCCTGGAATCCACAGACTCAGGCTAGATTTGCTTGTCTTGCAACGTGAGGCAATTGTGGAGCAGCAAGATCTGGCTCTAGAATTCTCACCGCGAATGCGGTTCTTATAGAATCCAACCTGAATGAGAGGCCAGGGCCTGAGCTGACTGCCCTGGGCACACCTGGCTTTGATGGGGTTGCCAAAATATAACTGGCACTTACAAAAATTTCAATGATTGTCGAAAAGTCCATATAATTATATACAATTTCATTTCTGATGTCTCTGGCTGTGCCTTTGAAAGGGCATAAAGAGCCATGGAAAGAGGCTGAAAGGCTCCTCTGGGAATTTTCAAATCCCTTTTCATAGCAGCAACTTGGTCTAGCCCAGTGCTATGACTGCAGGCTTCCTGGGGCTGGACTCTGATAGGGTCTTAAGGTCCTAACTAAGAAAATGGGACCCTGGAACTCTCAGGGCTGGGCCCTGAAGAAACACAGGGAGAAGGATCTGGAGGCGCAACCCTCCCTTCTGATCAGCACGGGCAGGGCTGTCTGAGCGCGTTTCCCCTCTGTGTTCAGCAGGATCGACTTTGCAGTGAGGCGCAGCCCCTGTCTCCCTGGGGGCCTCAGGTCCACACATCCTTCCACTGCCGCATGTCAGAAGCATCTGTTTCCTTTATTTTGTTTTCCACAGACTTCTTTCTTTTTTCTGTCCTTGACCACTAATACAACACAGGCAAGATCCTATAAGACCAGGTAAAAGATGTTACTGATAATAGTGAAGGCATGGTTGTGAAGGGACAATGGCAGATACAGACAGAGCCAGAGACAAAACAGAAAGGCAGAACAGAGATAGAAACACACACAGAAAATGAACATCCATCCGTCCATCCAACCATCCATCCATCCATGCATTCATCCATGCATGCATCTGTCTGCTCTCTACCTTTCTATCTCCTTACAAGGGAGGTACATCAACACTTTTACATTCATTTCCCAACAAAAATCACAAGATTTTCCTTGTCGGCTCACACCTGCCCTCCTTCATCCAGCCAACTGATGTGTTTGCTGAGGTCTTGCCACATGCCACACTGGGTGCTGAGCTTTGGGGTCTGAACAGTAACAGACCTCTGTGATGCACTCACACGGGGCCCTTTACTGTCCTGTCCTTGGCTATGAGACATCCTCATGTCCCTGAAGCTCTTCTTTCTGCTTCTTGGATAAAGTCCCTGACCACCTCCCTACTGGCACCCAGGAGACTCTGACATCCTGGAACACCAGTATCTTTCATCAAACACTGACTTACAGCATTTATCCTGTGTCTGTCACTCACTACATACCCTTTTGATGATTTTCTCATTTAGAGATTGTTAAAAAAGGATGTGATTGTAACCTCAGACAAGTGTAATAGAATAGTAAAATAAGGAACTCTGTGAAAAGGGCTTTTTCTGCTTTCTCCCAGAACATCTCATTTGCATCTGTGTTTGGCTGGATGAAAAGTGGCTTCCATATCCCCTGACATAATGCAACAAGCAGAAACACTTGCTCAGTAAACAAGTACTTCGGAAAATGCAGGGTCTTGAACACTGCCCTCAGGGCTCCACACATCAGAAGGACATATATATCTTTCCTTCAACCCCAGAGATGCCCAGGGGCTGCATGTTGGCTCCTCACTGGTCTTACTCATGTCCTACTGGAAGAGGACGGTGCTTCTCTGGAAATGTCAGAGTGGTGTGGGACAGCCAGTTCCTCTGTGTGCCCTGCAGGAAAACAGACAATTCAGCTTTTCAATCCCACTCAGTATCTGAAAATAAACTGGGTTTTCAATGTATTCCCCTCCAGAGAGTAAATTGCGGAGGAAACATGTTCAAACGCACACTTAATTATTTTCCGAGTCAAGAATGTAAGTATGAGGCCCTTTAAGACGAGTTAAGAGAAGTTCCTGACCTCAAATTTCATGTGGAAGTTATAAGATGGAGCTGGAAGCATCTGTCCTTACCTCTGGGTATAAAGTTGGGACCCCGCGGGAGGCAGTCAGCCACAGTTAGGGCACCAAGCAAACCCTCAGGAAGGACTCGGTCCACGCAGGAGCCTCCCTAAGCAGCTTCTCCCTGAAGAAAACCTGAAGTCTTAGAAATCCAAGAAGAACAAAGATATTCATGTCTCTGATAAGGAAAATGAAATGCCAGCAATCCAGCACTGAGAAGGGAAGCTACGAGACCACATTTTCTGCACGTGGAGAAGACATGTTTAATGGAGAGGTGGGAACTTGTCTCAAAAGTGTTGCGCTGCCGTGAGAACGTGTGGTCATCACTGCCACCACCCGCTGCTCGCTCAGTGGCCTCTGCCCATTGTAACTAATGGGCCAATGAATAGAAACACTTTTCACCTTCCTCTCCTGCAATAAGGCTATTAAAATAAATCATCTCCTCTGGTTGATTTTTCACTTAGGGAAAAAATAACTGGGGTAATGCATGCCCGTAGACCAGGTTTTAAAGAAGTTCTCAGAAAACCCTGAGACAGTCTCCAGAAGGCTCATCCAGCAGAAACGAGGCCTTGCACTTCTGCCATCCCGTGTGTCACCATGATGGAGTTTGCCCAGCTAGGGATGGCAAGAGGCCAAGTCATCACAGGTGATCTGCAGGCCTGGTGAGGAAGGACAATGACAGACGGGAAGGAGGAAATGCACACACACGACCAGACCTCCTGCCATTCCTTTGTCCATTGGTCTTGCTCTGTCTTTCACTCTCTGAAATTTTGTTGTCATGAGTCTTGGTGTGGGTCTGTTTCCATCTCCTGTATTGAGAACTTTGTTGCAGCCATTCACACTATACATTTTTGTCAGTAGCCTTCAAAACATTTTCTTGAATTACTTTTAATTACTTTCTATGGTTATTGGAACTTATATTATGAGACTGCTGGAATTCCTTAATTGATAGTATAATATTCTTAAAGTTCTATCATGCTTGGCATCACGTTTTTATTTTGTACTACCTTGCAGCACACAACTTTCATTTCAGTTCATTTTTTAAACTCTTTATTTCAATGATCATATTTTAAAATTCCAGAGCTCTTTCTAGTTCTCTGCATGAAATTGTTTATAAATTTGTTCAAATCTCATAACTGCTGTTTTCTTACATCTTTCACACATAATTGGTAATAGTGGTAGGGACCCATTAGGTCTCCTTGTAACCTGCTTTCATGATATCACAAACTTTTCCCTTACGCTCATTAGCAATTTCACAATCTTGGGGCAATTTTTGCTAAATATTTATCTTCCTTACAATATTGAAAACTCCCCATCTCCAAGATTTTACTCTTGCTCTTCATTATATCCTCAAGTGCTTAGCAGATCTCCTGATCACTGGAAATACACCCTGGATGAACGGACTTCTGCGTGAATTTGGCAGTTAAGTCATTGCCCTTCTTGTCTTCCTGAGCTCTGAGCCAGTGGCCTCCTGTCCATAGAACATTCTGGGACATCAAAACAGTTCACTTGTGTAAGGTGCAGATGAAGAGAGAATCAATGGAAGACAAGTCAACAAGGCCTCTGAGAGAAAATCTCCAGGGTTCAACCCTAGCCCCACCACCTTCTTTACCTCTCTCCTTCCCTGTCTGTACAAAGGATCACATATTGAGTTCCCCATGGGTTTGCATTGAGGATTAAATCTGACTCTCTATGTAAAGCCATGGCATTATTTTCTGAGTCATACTAAATGCTCCATTATTGATAACTATCATCACTATATTCATTACAATCTTTGGGTTATTTCCATTATTTTGCTTTTATAAACCACAATTCAAGGAACATTCTTATATATGTGGTTTTTTTGTTTTTGTTTTGGGACAGAGTCTCGACCTGTCACCCAGGCTGAAGTGCAGTGACATGATCGCAGCTCACTGCAACCTCCACCTCCCGGGTTCAAGCAATTCTTCTGCCTCAGCCTCCCGAGTAGCCGGAACCACAGGTGTCTGCCACCACGCTCGGCTAATTTTTGTAGTTTTTAGTAGAGACGGGGTTTCACCATGTTGGCCAGGCTGATCTTGAACTCCTGACCTCGTAATCCACCTGCCTCGGCCTCCCAAAGTGCTGGGATTACAGGCATGAGCCACCGCGCCCGGCCTATATATGCGTTTTTAGAAAGATATGTAATTATTTCCTTGGGATAAATTCCTAAAAGAGAAATTTTCATGTCAAAATGTCAGAACACTTAGGCCCGGCGCAGTCCCTCACCCCTGTAATCCCAGCACTTTGGGAGACCAAGGCGGGTGGATCACTTGAGGTCAAGGATTTGAGATGAGCCTGGCCATCATGGTGAAACCCCATTTCTACTAAAATTACAAAAATTAGCTGGGCGTGGTGGCACGCACCTGTAGTCCCAGCTACGCGGGAGGCTGAGGCAGGAGAATCGCTTGAACCCAGGAGGTGGAGGCTTCAATAAGTCAAGATTGTGCCACTGCACTCCAGCCTGGGCGACAGAGCAAGACTCTGTCTCAAAAACGTCAGAACATTTAAATTATTGAGACATTTTGCAAAAGTGCCCTTTAGAAGTTTTGTACCACTTTTCAATGCCATCAGTCTTCGTAACAGTACATTTTCCCTGTACTCTGATCAATACTACCATCATTTACTTCTGTCTTTGCCAAGCTGATGGATTTTAATTCTGGTTCCCATTTTGTAGTCTACATTCTTATTTTTTGCACATATTTATTACTAATATAACTATATGACATTTCTTAATCATTTCTCAAACGTAATGCTGATATTTTTAAATATTGAATTTAATCAAGAAAAAGCAGCCCCTAATATCTGGGAACTTGTCTGGCACAGCTGGGCATCAGTGTTGCCAGGAGCTGGTCTGGTCTTCACTACTGGGCCATATTAGTCCCTCTGGGACATAAATTATATCACAAAATACCAACACCACACTGGATCACTCTCAGCCCATGAGAAAGTGAGGCGAAACAAAAGTACTTCATAATTTTGTCTAAACCCTCTCCCGGCTAGTATGAGTGGCTGATGCTTCTCTACGGATTAAGCTTTATCTGCACTCTAGTCCACCCTCCCTAAAGGTAAGATTTATTGAAATACCGAATTGTAGAATTGCCTCTGCTTACTGACAGTACTAAATCTAGAGCAATAAAATAAAATAGAATTTCTCAACTGTGTTATCTGTATTTTCTTTTTTTCCTTATTCTCATGCTCTGGCATCTGAGTCCTCACTGATTGTGAGGACTCCCCTCCCAAGACTAGTCTATTCCTACAGATACTAAAGGGATTGACCGCAAATGCGCCTTTCTTATGCAAACTAACCAAACCAGAGCCCAAACTCAGAATGAGTTCTTTTTTTCTGGCTGTCACATGGCCCCGATACTCCCAGTCAATATTCTCCTGTCTTAATAATCTGAGAGACAGGTATCAGACAACTAGAGACAATCCCTATGCCTCAGAGTCACCAAGATTATTCAGACTCATCAATACTGAACATGTCTACACTGCTTACCCTGCCTTGCTCATTCATTCCCCTAAAAACCACATTAGAGGCTCTCGCCCATGCTTTCCCCTCCCGTTGCCACTTGACCAGCCTTGGTGCTGCCTGTTGTGCTGTGCTTCCTATGTCAGTGGGTAATAAACTCTTTTTTCAGTGGCATAGACCTCTCTGTGTCATCATTCAGTCATAACTACTAATTAATTAAATCCCAGGGAAACTTGAAATACCAGCTGAAGCCCAAATATTATAATAGGCTCTATCTAAAAGGCACTTACCAAGATACTCGGTAGTTATCCAAGGTGTGCATTCTCCCTCCCACTGCAGTGAGTAATAAACCCAACTTCTTCACCCACAGATGTGCTCCAGGTGGCCTTGGGCTGAAGGGTATTAACACATTGTTACTATTTTGTCCATCAACTGTTTACATGTCTTTGAGGTTGATTATGGGAAAGTGTTTGTACATTTCTGTGTTTGTGGATGCCAAAGAGATTTTTTTTAATTTGTAAGTAGTCAAAATGATTATCATCATTCTTCATCACTTTTCACATTTTGGTCATGCTTAGAACATCTGCACTCCAGAGTTGTGAAAACTTCATACATATTTGACCTAGGAAGAGACGATGAGGAAAGGGGTCCGAGAGTTGAAGGACATAGAATTGTTTCAAGTTGTGGAAAAGTAAAGATTACTAATGCGATGGGATTGTAAGGTTTAATTATTTTATAATTTTTGAAATGTGTCTACTGGGTCTGTAGGGTACTTAATATATGTGGTATCCAATAAATACAACTTAGGATGAGTACTCAAGACTTATTTGCCTTCTTACATTCACCAAAGTAAAGAAAATATTATGCCAGATTTCCAGTGAAATATAGACATGGATTGGCAACAGTGATGTGCATTTATGAAGACTTGATACTATGAACTGATAATTCATATTTTGGTTGATGTCTATACACTGTAGTTGTTCAAATACACATTAATTAAACTTTCTTGGGCATGCTATATTTCAATGATATGTCTGAGACCCATATAGACAAATTCATGGCTTCCATATGAAGACAACTTTGATATATTCAATCTATGAGTGACATGGTATACTTTTAGGGAGATTAAAAACTAAGATACTCTGGTATGCACTATCAAATTTCATTGGAGATGTGGTTACTTGAGCTGTGGTGGCTACACTTGCGATGAAGCGGAAGAAGAGCTCTGGTATGTAAGGACTGGGATCTGCATTGTCATGTTCCATTCTGCATTGATAATAAAATGTACCCCACATACCCCGCCCCCCACCACACACACAGACACACACACACAAAACACAAACACTCATGCTTACCCAGTCATAGTCCCTGCTTGCTGAAATTTCTGTAACGTAAAGCACTTGTGAAAATAAAGGACCAGTCATCACCTTGATGATTCTAGAGATGGGGACCCGATTCCCAGAAGTCATAGGTCAGAAGGGAAAGACTGCTGAGGACAGACCTCCAGTCACCCAAGAGGGAAGGTGGTCCAGCCCCTGCACGTCTCCTGTCCTTGTTTTCCTGATCCTGCCCTGGGTATGGTTATAGAGTCGAATAGATAAATTGAACTTCATCAAACCAAAACTTTTATGCATCAGAGAACACTATCAATACAGTGAAAAGGCAATCCATACAATGGCAGAAAATATTTGCCTATTACATATCTCATATGGGTCAAGTGTTTGGATACACAAAGAACCCTTTAAACATCAATAACAAAATGACAAATAATCCCATTACAAAATGGGCAAAGAAATTGAAAAGTCATTTCTTCAAAGAAGATACATAAACCGCCAATATACACAGGAAAAGATACTCAACATCATTAGCCATTAAAGAAATGCAAATTAAACCACAATAATATGGCTATAATAATAATTTTTTTAAAATGAAAATAAATGTTAGGAAAGATAAGCAGAAATTAGAACCCTCATACCACTATATTTTATGGAAATATAAAATGGCCAGCTGAGGTTCTTATTTGGTGGAAGCATTTCTTTCCTGGGAAATCCACTAAGCCCAAGGTTGCAGAGATGTGAAGCAGAAATTTTAAAAGTAATTAATAGGTGTAATTGTACAAGAATATTTATTAACATAATAAATTATCTCAGCTTTTTTAGTCAAAATAACTCCTATAACTTTGTTCATCTTTTTAGAAATTACTTAAATTGTACTGACTATGATAACATGCCTGTAGTCTCAGCTACTCAAGAGACTGAGATGGGAGGACACCTTGAGCCCAGGAGTTCAAGACTAACCCGGACAACATAGCAAAACTTGTCCTGAAAAAAAATGAAAAATTAGCTGCACATGGTAGTGCATGACTGTAGTCTCAGCTACCTGGGGGCTGAGGTGGATGGATCCCTTGAGCCCAGAAGTTAGAAGCCAACATGGGGTAATATAGAAAGACTCTTTCTCTAAAATTTTTAAAAAATAAATTGCATGAGTTATTCTAGACCTTTTATGTTTTCATATAAATTTGTAAATCAGCTCATAAATTTCTATCAAAAAGCCTCCTAGAATTTTGTTAGTTTTTTTTTAAATCTCTGGGTTAATTTGGGGAGTGTTGCATTTTAACAATGTTAAATCTTGCTCCCCATGAACAGGGGATCTATTTATTTAGGTCTTCTATGTACTCTTTCCACAGTGTCTCTTGATTTCTAGTGTCTTGGATTTCAGAGATCTTAAATATTTTTTGTATGATTTATTTATTTTCTTTGTTGTTGTTGTTTTTGTTGTTGTTTGCCCTATGAAGTTTTATTTTATTTCAATAGTTTTTTGGGGTACAGGTGGGTTTTGGTTTAATGGATGAGTTCTTTAGTGGTGAATTCTGAGACTTTAGTGCACCTGTCACCCAAGCAATATACACTGTACCCAATATGTAGTCTTTTATCTCACTCCCCTCTCAGCCTGTCCCTTGAGTCCCCAAAGTCCATTATATCGCTCTATATGTCTTTGCATCCTCCTAGCTTAGCTCCCACTTATAAGTGAGAACATACAGTATTTGGTTTTCCATTCCTGAGTTACCTCACTTAGAATAATGGCCTCCATCTCCATCTAGGTTGTTGCAAAACACATTATTTTGTTCCTTGTTATGGCTAAGTAATACTCCATGGTGTACATATACCACATTTTCTTTGTCCACTTGTTGGTCGATGGACACTTACTTTGTTTTCATGTCATTGCAATCGTGAAGTGTGCTGCTGTAAACATGCACGTGCATGTGTCGTTTTCATATAATGACTTCCTTTGGGTAGATATCCAGCAGTGGGATTGCTGGATTGAATGGTAGATCTACTTGCAGTTCTTTAAATAATGTCCATACTGCTTTCCAAAGTGGTTTTACTAATCTACATTCCCACCAGCAGTGCAAAAGTGTTCCCTTTTCACCACATCCACACAAACATCTACTGTGGTTTTTAAAAATTTTTTAATTATGGCAATTTTTGCAGGAGTAAGGTGGTATCTTGTACTTATAATTTGCATTTCCCTGATGATTAGTTATCTTGAGCAATTTTTCATGATTGTTGGCTATTTGTATATCTTCTTTTGAGAACTGTCAATTCATGTCCTTTGCCCAGTTTTTGATGGGATTATTTGTTTTTTTCTTGCTGATTTCTTTGCGTTCCTTGTAGATTCTGGATATTAGTCCTTTGTTGGATGTATAGTCTGTGAATATTTTCCCCTACTGTGTGGGTTGTCTGTTTACTCTGCTGATTATTTCTTTTGCTGTGTAGAAGCTTTATCATTCAACCAGGTCTCATTTATTTATTTTTATTTTTGTTGTGTTTGTTTTCGGGGTCTTAGTCATGAATTTTTTGCCTAAGCCAATGTCCAGAAGAGTTTTTTAATGTTATCATGTTATCTTCTAAGATTTTTATGGTTTTAGGTTTTAGGTTTTAGGTTTAAGTCTTTGATCCATTTTGAGTTGACATTTATATAAAGTGAGAGATGGAGATACAGTTTCATTCTATATGTGGCTTGCCAGTTTTCCCAGCACTCTCTATTGAATAGGATGTGCTTTTCCCAATTTATGTTTTTGTATGCTTTGTCAAAGATCAGTTAGCTGTTGGCATCTGGCTTTATTTCTGGATTGTCTATTCCATTCCATTGGTCTAAGCGCCTATTTTTTATTTTATCTTATTTTGAGATGGAGTTTCACTCTTGTTGCCCAGACTGGAGTGCAATGGCACGATCTCAGCTCATTGCAACCTCTGCCTCCCAGGTTCAAGTGATTCTCCTGCCTCAGCCTCCTAAATAGCTGGGATTACAGGTGCCCACCACCACGCCCAGATAATTTTTTTTGTATTTTTAGTAGAGATGGTGTTTTATCATGTTGGCTAGGCTAGTCTCGAACTCTTGACCTCAGGTGATTTGTCTGCCTCTACCTCCCGAAGTGCTGGGATTACAGGCGTGAGCCACCGTGCCCAGCTGAAGTGCCTATTTTATACCAGTATGATGCTGTTTTGGTAACGATAGCCTCGTAGTGTAACTTGAAGTCTGTTAATGGGTCGCTTCCAGATTTGTTATTTTTGCTTAGTATTGCTTTGGATACGTGGGCTCTTTTTTGGTTCCACATGAATTTTGGGGTTGTTTGCTCCAGTTCTGTGAAGAATGATGATGGTATTTTGATGAAAATTGCACTGAATCTATAGATTGCTTTGGGCAGTATGGTCATTTTCACAATATTGATTCTATTCATCTATGAGCATGGGATGTGTTTCCATGTGTTTGTGTCATCTATGATTTCTTTCAGCAGTGTTTTTTAGTTTTCCTTGCAGAGATCTTTCACCTCCTTGGTTAAGTATATTCCTAGGTTTTGGGGGGTGTTGTTTTTTTGGAGGTTTTTGTTGTTGTTGTTGTTGTTTGTTTTTGCAGCTGTTGTAAAAGGGATTGAGTTCTTGATTTGATTCTCACTTGGTCGTTGTTGGTGTATAGCAATGCTCCTGATTTGTGTACATTGATTTTGTGACCTGAGACTTTACTAAATTTGTTTATCAGATCTATGGGTCTTTTGGATGAGTCTTAGTATTTTCTAGGTATACGATCATATCATCAGTGAACAGGGACAGTTTGACTTCCTCTTTTCTAATTTGGATGCCCATTATTTCTTTCTCTTGCTTGATTGCTCTGGCTAGAACTTGCAATACTGTGTTGAATAGAAGTGGTGCACGTGGGCATCCTTGCCTTGTTTCAGTCCTTGGAGGAATGCTTTCAACTTTTCCCCATTCACTATGATGTTGGCTGTGAGTTTGTCATATATGACTTTCATGACTTTGAGGTAAGTCCCTTCTATGCCTATTTTGTTGAAGGTTTTTATCATAAAGCAATGCTAGATTTTATCAAATGCTTTTTCTGCATCTATTGAGATAATCATATGATTGTTGTTTTTAATTCTGTTTATGTGGTGTATCACATTTATTGACTTGCATATGTTAAACCATCTCTGCATCCCTGGGATGAAACCCACTTCAACATGGTGTATTATTTTTTTGATAGGCTACTGGATTTGGTTAGCTAGTATTGTGTTGAACATTTTTGCATGTATGTTCATTGGGGATATTTGTCTGTATTTTTCTTTTTTGTTATGTCCTTTCCTACTTTTGGCATTAGGGTGATACTGTCTTCATAGAATGATTTAGGGAGGATTCCCTTTTTCTCTATCTTTTGGAATAGTTTCAGTAGGATTGGTACCAATTTTTTGAATGTCTAATGGAATTTGTCTGGGAACCCATCTGGTCCTAGGCTTTTTTTTGTTGACAGTTTTTTTTATTACTGTTTCAGTCTCACTGCTTGTTATTGGTCTGCTCATGATTTCTATTTCTTCCTGATTTAGTCTAGGAGGGTTGTATGTTTCCAGGAATTCATCAGTTTTTAGATTTTCTAGCTGGTGTGTGTAAAGGTGTTCATAGTAGCCTTGAATTAACTTTTGTGTTTCTGTGGTATTAGTTGTAATATCTCCAGTTTGTTTTCTAATTGAGCTTATTTGGATCTTCTCTCCTTTTCTTGGTTAACCTCACCAATGGTCTATTGATTTTGTTTACCTTTTCAAAGACCCAACTTTTTTTTCATTTATCTCTTGTATTATTTTTGTTTCAGTTTCATTTATTTCTGCTCTGATCTTTATTATTTCTTTTTTATGCTGGCTTTGGGTTTCATTTGTTTTTATCTCTCCAGTTCCTTGAGGTGTGACATTAGGTTTTCAATTTGTGCTTATTCAGATTTTTTTTTTCCTTCCCAGATGAAGTCTCACTCTGTTGCCCAGGCTGGAGTGCAGTGGCGCAATCTCAGCTCACTGCAACCTCGACCTCCTGGATTCAAGTGATTCTCCTTCCTCAGCCTCCTGAGTAGCTGGGATTAAAGGCGCGTGCCACCACGCCTAGCTAATTTTTGTATTTTTAGTAGAGACAAGGTTTCACCATGTTGGTCAGGCTGGTCTCAAACCCCTGACCTTAACTGATCCACCTGCCTCAGCCTCTCAAAGTGCTGGGATTACAGGCATAAGCCACTGTGCCCGGGCTCTTTCAGGCTTTTTTAAGTCAGCACTTATTGCTATGAACTTTCTTATTTTCACTGCTTTGGCTATATCCCAGAGATTTTGATTACTTGTGACACTATTATCATTCATTTCAGAGAATTTTTAAATTTCCATCTTGATTTCATTGTTAACTGAAAAATCATCCAAGAATAGGTTATTTAATTTCCATGTACTCATACAGTTTTTAAGTTTCATTTTGGAGTTGATTTCCAGTTTTATTCCACTCTGGTCTGTGAAGATACTTTATAGGATTTCAGTTTTCTTAAATTTGTTTAGACTTGTGTTGAGGTCTATCATATGGTCTATCTTGGAGAATGTTCCATGTGCTGATGAGAAGAATGTATATTCTACAGTTACTGGGAAGAAATGTTCTGTAAATATCTGTTAAGTCCATTTGTTGTAGGATATGGTTTAAGATCATTGTTTCTTTGTTGACTTTGTGTCTTGATGATCTGTCTAGAGCTATCAGTGGAGTATTGATGTCCCCTGCTATTATTGTCTTGCTGTCTATCTCATTTCTTAAGTCTAGTAGTAACTGTTTTATAAAGCTGGGAGCTCCACTGTTAGGTGCATATAAATTTAGGACTGTGATATCTTCTTGTTGGAATTATCATTCTATCATTATATAATGTCCTTCTTTGTCTTTTTTTTTTTTTTTACTGTTGTTGCTTTAAAGTCTGTTTTTGTTTTGTATAAGAATAGCCACTCCTGCTCTCTTTTAAGAAAATGTAGTGCATATACATCATGGAATACTATGTGGCCATAAAAAAGAATGAGTTCTTGTCCTTTGCGGAACATGGATGGAGCTGGAGGCCATTATCCTTAGCAAATTAATGCGGGAAAAGAAAACCGAATACCACATGTTCTCACTTATAAGTGGGAGCTAAATGATGAGAACACATGGACATATAGAAGGGAACTGCACACACTGGGGCCTACCAGAGAGTGGAGGCTGGGAGGAGGGAGAGGATCAGGAAAAGTAACTAATAGGTACTAGGCTTAATGCCTAGGTAACAAAATAATCTGTACAGCAAACCCCATGATACAAGTTTACCTATATAATAAACCTGCACATGTATGCCTGAACTCAAAATATAAGTTAAATCAATAAAAAATTATTTTAAAATGATCGGCGGTCCCACCTGCCCAAAGGCTGTGCTGGGAGCTCTCTGGTCCCACCAGGCACTGGCACCCTGCACCACACCACATGCAGCAGGGCTAGCGACACACCCTCAGGCCAGCCAAGGCCATGGCCACTCTACCCATGATTTTCTATGTGGGTATTCAGCTTTGATGAGTGTCTTACATCTATAAGCTAAAATTCTTCATCAAATTTGGGAATCTTTCAGCCATAGATTTTTTTGAATTTTTTTTCTGATCCTGTGTCTATCTTCTTTTGGGACTCCAATTGGTCACCTGTTTACCTGCTTTATATTTTCTGAGGGTTTGTGAAGTTTTCTTCACTTTTCTTTAATCTTATTTCACTCTTTTTTATTTTTAGATTAGACAATTTCTGTTGATTTATATTCAAGGACACTGACTGATTCTTTATTCTGCCATCTCAAAACTTCTGTTGACCTCATCCAGAGCACTGTCATTATTTTTCTATCCAGTTTGAGAATTTCCACTTAGTACCATCTATAGTTTTCATTTCTCTGCTGCAATTACTTCTATTCACTCTTTAGAAATGATATTTCCTTCATTTCTTTCCACATATTTTTCAAAACTGTCTTAAAGAGTTTGCTGATAATTTCAATATCTGGACCCATTGAAACCCATTTATTTTTAATTTCCTCCTTATTATAGTCACACATTTCTTTCTTTTCTTTCTATGTCTGATCCTATTTGATAAAGTGGACATTATATGTTTTGTTTTAGAGAGTCTGGAATCTACAACAATCTCTCTAAAGATGGCAATTCTCCCACCACCACCACCCCTGCCCCTCAGTGAACGTGGTTAACTTTCCCTGCACTGGTAACTGTGAAATCTGTTACCCCTGCAGTTGGCTACAGCTGATGTCTCTGCTCTGTTTACCGATATCCAGTTGCTGCATTTTCAGCAGGGGGCTCTGGGTGTCTACTCTGCATCTTTGTAATATTTGTCCCTGCCAAACCTCATGTTGAAATGTAATCCCCAATGCTGCAGGTGGGGCCTAGTGGAAGCTGTTTGGGTCATGGGGGTAGATCCCTCATGAATGGCTTGGTGCCCTCCCCACAGTCATAAGTAAGTTCTCTTCGCTTTATTATTATTATTATTATTATTATTATTTTGAGACAGAGTCTCGCTCTGTTGCCCAGCCTGGAGAGCAGTGGTGCGATCTTGGCTCACTGCAACCTCCACCTCCTGGGTTCAAGTGATTCTTCTGCCTCAGCCTCCTGAGTAGCTGGGACTACAGGCACATGCCACCATGCCAAGCTAATTTTTGTATTTTTAGTAAGGATGGGGTTTCACCATATTGGCCAGGCTGGTCTCGAACTCCTGACCTCGTGATCCACCCGCCTCGGCCTCCCAAAGTGCTGGGATTACAGGCATGAGCCACCACATCCGGCCCCTGCTCTATTATTTTGAAAGAGAGTTGGTTGTTTAGAAGAATCTGGCTCCTCCCACCCTGTTCCTCTTTTGCCATGTGACATGCCTGGTCCCCCTTCCCCTTCCACCAGGAGTAAAAGGCTCCTGAGGTCTCACCAGAAGCTGAAGAGATGCTGGTGCCATGTTTGTACAACCTATATAGCCATGAGCCAAATAAACCTCTTTTCTTTATAAATTACCCACTCTCAGGTATTTATAGCAACACAACATGGACTAACAAGTACTGGGGCTATTTCTGCTAAGATTTTGCAATTCAGCTTCTCTGTGTTTGTTTTGCTTCTGGAATCCCCTCTAAATTGTCCTGCATCCTGCCTTTTCACCCCTCAGTCCAGTAAGATTTTTGCTTTCTTCTGCCTGTGTTGTATGCAGGTTGACAAATGCAAGCAGTCTATGTTACTGCAGACTTTCAGATATTGCCAGGATTATTTCACTCTTTCAAGGGTAGACCTCACTCTAGGTTCTTTCTGATTTTTCCCCAGGTTCCCCTGAGTGTCCCACACCCATGGGGAGTTTAGTGTTCAACCAGGGATGTGAGCATAGTTTGTATTCAGATTTTGAATCTGAATTCTTCAGCAGATCTCTTTCAAAATTGCCTGACTGATGTAAACATGTAAAAATGTAAACATTTTTAGCTTATTTGGGCTTTTAACTCTATAAACTGCCCTATTGATCCATTAGGGCTGCAGTTACCTGCTGGGAGTTTGGAGCAAACTCATAGGTAAGGAGGAAAGGCCACCAACTTGCAGCTTTTACCCAATAGATAGTCTCAAGATCAAAGCACTATTACATTTCTGCTCGCCTTTGTTTGTTTTCCAGTGACTTCAAATATTTATTTTTATGATTTTGTCCAGTTCTCATATTGCTATTTAGAGGAAGACTTGCTGATCTACCTGTTCATGTTGCCATTACCAGAAGTTCTGTCCTAAAAGAGACTTTTGGGAGAAAATGTCACAGCTCACAATTCAATTTTGTGAGACAAATAAGGATCCAGACACCAGAGATTCCTTGTTCAGGTTTTTCAAATTGAAGTAAGTTGAGGCCTTCTGTTTGTAACCCCAAATTTCTAAAAGAATCGCTGACTTCATATGACCCCCAATGATAAAGAAGGACACTCTACATAGATTGGACTCATTACTATTTAAGACAGCACATTCCATACCTAGGAAATTTCTGACTCTGTAAATCAAGTCACCAATGCTGCAGTTAAATTTGAGTGGAGGCCAAGGAAGTAGTTCAGTTAAGTGTGAAACAAGCACTGCCCCTCTCCCCTACCCTCTCTTAAAATCATGCAATCACATGTGTCTTCATTCAATCCTACAGCTGATTGGAAGCTGTTGGAAATGAGACTCCCTCATTATTCAGGCCCTGGGCTTTTCAACTCAAGGAATTCCTCCAAGATTGGAGTACAAGCTCTTTGAAAAATAACTGCACCGGTGTTATTAAACGTTAATGAAGATAAATAATTTCAACAAAGAAAAAATGTGATTTCTTATCTTGTGAGGGGATTTCTCTGCACCAAAATCCGGTAAGTTAGTACAAGTTCAAAACATTCCATAAGAAATGGAAATGTCATTCTGATCCAGGCAGGCATCAAACATATCTGCCATTTGGCCTAAATGCTTCCTTGGATATGTGTGTGTGTGTGTGTGTGTGTGTGTGTGTGCGCGTGTGTGTGTGTGTGTGCGTGTGTGTGTGTGTGTGTGTGTGTGTGTGAAACAGGCATAGGAGCTCACTGCTCAAGTTCCAGGGCTTCGAAGAAAAGCTTTATTCTTTATTCTTCTACTAAATAACAGTTCCTGGCTTGCTACTGAGCCCTGGTAGATTCTGAATGCCATGATCATGATACAGCAAATGACCAAGTGACTTGAGATGTCCACCATGACCTGGATTTTATTTATTCACTTATGGTCACCAGCACTCAGTGAGCATTCAGGAGGAAGTGGATATATATACTGTATATACATACAGTATCAGACCTGAGCTGGTCCTTAGCAAGGCCAGCTAAGTTGCCTCATAATATGTACTATATTCCTAGTATTCTTATTACCACCGGTAAATCCACTCTCCCTTGTCTCATCCTTGGGGTCTTGAGGAGTTCCCTAAGGACTGTTGACTATAGAAGAAGAAATTTGAATATGCTTTGAATACCCAAAAGTGTACTTTGCAGCATTACAGCCCTTTTCAGGAATTGTCATAAAGAAGAGTGGAAAGGAAAGTACCTCCAGCAGGAAGATTTTCAATCAGACCATCTGGAAGTTCATTTTGCCTAAAGAAATATCTTATTGTTAGATCCTCATCAATGCATGGGTAGTGACTAATAGTTTGCTCAGGTATTCAATGACTTCAAAGGAACAAGATGGGAAGGTTTGTGATAAGGAGCTTTAAGGATAAGGTGTGAACCACTAATGTGGCATATTAGGTATCTACGCCTACTCTCATGCTAACAAAAAATGGGTTATCAAAAGATAAAATACATCATAAAAGCACTGAGAGGCTTTCACATCAGTGAAAACTGTCTAATAAATATCAGGAAGCTCTGAATTTACTTTTATCCTGAGCTCATTTGCTCAATGTAGACAAGTTAAGCTTTAGTTTCCATGGCCTCATAAGGAATTTGGAATAGGAGGCAAGTCTCAAGTAGCACTCAAAGTGGGAAATCTCCTAGGATGATCTCCTCCATTTTGCTGGGACCCCTAAGTTCAGTTCCTCGGTGTAAGAGAAATGCCCCATGCTCAAAGGACTGCAGGAACAGCTGCCTTGGTGCTGAGTGGAACTGGGAGTAAACACAATGGCCCCACACATGTATTTGCAGCCCAAGTTCTCACTACCTGGATTGTCTGGCAATCATCAAGTTGTGAATTCAGTTTATAGTGGGCCAGGCTCCAAGGAACCTGTCAAAAAACAAACGCAAATAACACGCAAAACAAACACAAATCCTCTCTGGAGGAAGATGTCATCAACCACACTTAAAATTTCCTAAAATTATTCCATAAGCAAAATGAGCACTTACCAGGAAAACAACAACAAAACTATTTACAAGATACAAGTCACCATGAAAGATCAAGCAGAAACACCATACAGCAGAATAATAAGAATAAGACATAAAATAGCCCTGCTTCCTGTGATTAAAAAACAGGCTTTAAAAGACTTCCAGTTAATCAGAAACTACAAATAATGTTCAGGAAAAATTGAAAAGACAAATATAAAACATTTAGAAATGAAATACATGATAATATAAAAATCAAGTCTCAATGGATTTTTTCCAAGCAAAGACAATTTGACACAAACACGCTTTTACTGAAGGGAGTTCTAAAGAATATGCTTCAGGCAAAAGGCGAAATCCTGGTTGGAAGATACAAGATAAAAGAAAACATAAATACAAAATAAAAATCAAAAATGAAAGTAAATGTGTGGTTAAATTTAAATTAAGGTGAGGTTAAAAAGGACAGCATATGAGTTTTGAGGGAATATATAGTTAGTTAAAATCTATATCCATTCTCTCTTGTCCATACAATAATGCTGGATTTCTTTTCTTTACATTCTGATCTAAAATTTCAAGATAAACTTCTAAATCATAGTGTTGTCTAATTTGATTTTGCTTTGTACATTTTAGTATAGGGCATATAAAGGGAATATTCTGTGGGTCTTTCTATGTCATCTTTCCAAGGATTGCTGAATCCTTGTAAGTGATGCATGTACAAAGTCATATGTAGAGTTTTCACTAGTGCAGTTTTCCACAGTAAGATTGCCATTTGTAAAGGTGGTGGGACCTGCTAGTTTGTCTTTCAGAACCATGGACAGTTCTACACGTCCTGGGATGTAGGGAGCCAGATCCTCTTTCACCTGGATACCATGATACATCAGGGAGAAAAGTTTAAAAAGAACCTTAATAGTCATGAAACTGTGATTTTAAATATAGTCAGTAACCATAGTCTCAAATACTGCATTCTTCTTCCCCCTCTTCCTGCCCCTAATACTTTATTAGCCATGTATTTCATGGTCATTGCCATAGAAGGACCTGTTTGAGCAGAAGACACGACTTTAGGCCAGTCTTGGCATGACACTATAGTGGCTGAAGAGCAATAGATCTAGAACAAAACTGCCTGGAACTGAATTCTGGCCTCAAATCTTCATAATTGTGTTACCCTGGGCAAGTTACTTAAACTTTCTGAACCTAATTTTCTTGAGCAAGTTACCTATACTTTGTAGACTTCTTGACTTACTTCCTTCCTTCCTTCCTTCCTTCCTTCCTTCCTTCCTTCCTTCCCTCCCTCCCTCCTTCCTTCCTTCTTTCTTTCTTTTGAGACAGAGTTTTGCTCTCTTTGCCCAGACTGGAGTGCAATGGTGCAATCTTAGCTCACCACAACCTCTGCCTCCCGGGTTCAAGTGTTTCTCCCGCCTCAGCCTCCCAAGTAGCTGGAATTACAGGCACCCGCCACCAAGCCCAGCTAATTTTGTATTTTTAGTAGAGACAGGATTTCACCATGTTAGCCAGGCTTGTCTCGAACTCTTGACCTCAGGTGATCCGCCCTCCTCGGCCTCCCAAAGTGCTGGGATTACAGGTGTGAGCCACAACACCCAGCCTAAACTTCATTTCTTTATTGTGGATAAGAACATTTTTTTCATATGGTTGTGATAAATACTGAACAAAATAACTTATGTAGGTACTTAAGCCAATGCCTGGAATACAGCAAGTGCCCTTTAAATGCAGCCACTATTATTATTATAGTTGTTGCTATCGTTATTTTCCATGTAATACATTGAGGACTTTCTTTTTCATAGGTTCCCATGAAGGCTCTCTAAGGACTTGCTGAATGAGCAAGATTTGTTAAGATCATGAAAATTCTCTAGGCATAGCCCTACTAAAATTTTTCAGAAGTTCCCAATATCTTATCCACAGATTTCCTTTGATGTCAGAATATTAGTCTTGGTTAGGGGCATCTTCTGGAGTTTGAGTGTAGTCTGGTGTTTTGGGAAAAGAATTATTTCAATAATAGTAAGGCTCAATAATGTTAAAACTGAGAGTTTCAAAATGTTTAATCTGAAGCAAGGGTAGAGCAGATACTTCCTCAATGGGAAGAGGAGAATGTACCAATTGCAAGACAGCTAAAGAAATATGTGTTTGCTTATTGTCAGTGTTAATAACAGTGTTTTTATTAGTCAAATGCCTCATGTGGTACATTCTTCTGAATAAATATCTTTAAAGGCCTCCGCAAAAAAGGACCTCTGGCCAACACCATCCTCCAAGTCAAATGGGAAGAATCAATTAAGCAGAGGATGCACCAATCAGTTCATGAAAAGTTCAAGCCTCATGTTTTACAGAATTAAGTCCAATAATGAGAAGAAATCGGACATAGAATTCAACATATATCTTGAACATAGAAGGTGACATTTTAGCTCTACAGGTCCCTGAGAACGTTTTACACTTTGCTTTGATGAGATGTGGTGAGCACACATTTGATGTATTAGGTATTTTTGCAAAAGTATTTTATAGATGTCTTTTCATAGGTACTCTGAGATTACCTTCAAGAAAGATAAGTTATAAACTCATTTCTAGAAGGCTAAGTTCAAAATTTAGTGGCATAAGCAAGCAAACATTTCAAAGAAATACTGGCTATACTTTGCCATCCTGTGGAAAGACTGGACAACTGCAATGGGGTAGCCTCAATTTTTGCCCTGAAAGGAATCCTTAGAACTCATCATACTCAGATATGCTTATTTTAAAATGAAATGAAAAACAAGTAACTCAAACTTTGTGACATCCTCCACTAATATTTTTCAATATATATTTCTGCCACTTGTTATTTCAAAATATGATTTCTACTTCTATATATATTCTATTGCAATTACATTATATATAATATTCATGGTGCTTCATACACATAAACACACTTGATCCTTACAATCCTGTACAGTTGTCAGAGAAGAACTCATTATTCTGTTTTTTTTTTTACTAATAAATAAATAAGGCCTAAAAATATTCCATAAAACCCCAAAGGTGAGAGTTGTGAGCTCCTGGGCATACCAACTTCTTGACCTTCCAAATTGTTCTCTCTCCTCTCCTTTAAAAATATGGGGGAAAAATCAGATTGATGGTATCTTCTTATCCTAATAATTAACTGACTGAACAGAAAGATAGACTGAGACAATGTAGTGGACAGTCTAATATTAGAATTTTAAAACCTTATTCTGTCACCCCGATGCAGTGGTTTTTTAAATACATATAAGAATATGAAAAACATGTTTGGGGAAATTGAATCATAGCACCTAATGCAATTCCTCCAATTAGTAAGCTGTCAATACTTGTTAAATAAATGCATATACGAAGGTTAAAATTTGGAAGGGATGGAAGGAAGCATAAGCAAGAACATAAACACAAACCTTTATCCGTTAGATAAAATGATAAAAGGTCCATAAGTGAGGGGAGACCAGTGGGGCTAAGAATGTAGAGGAATGTTTGGGAAAACTGCCAGAACATGGTGCCTGACCTCTCACAGAAGAGAGGATGAGAAGCAAGGTAGCTCGCAGATTAACTGACTGAGGAAAGCAGAAACTAGGAGGACTTGGAGTGTGGTATGGTGGACACCAACCCCAGATCCATTGACTAGCTGCTCACAATCCCCCAAGAATTTTTAAGAGTGAAGTGTTCTGCTTCCGGAGATTGATTCTGTAGGCCTAGGAGAGGGCCAGAAATAGTTACTTATAAAAGGTTCTCCGTGGGATTTGGCATGACTGCATTCTAGACTTTAGAGTGTAATATCCAGGCCAACTTAGGGACCACAAAAAGGAGGATTCTACCTATAGAATGCCCTAGAGAGGTTGAGAGGGCAATAAGATTAAGCAAAGTCCACTCTGTTGCAACTAGAGGTGGCTGCTGACACTTGAGAATTGACAAGAAGTTCAGAATGAGCAAAGGCGCAGAAACGGACAGAGTGATGGATAATCAGGGGGCAATGAGGAGACTGGCCTGGCAAGAGCATGTTCTCAAAATGGGAGGGGCTTTGGAGCTGTAGGGTCAGAGGTGGCCAAATGAGAGGCTTGGCATTTATAAGTGAGCTTGATAAATTAAATATTTGAATAAGACTGAGGTATGAAAAGAGCTATGATGTGCTCAGTGGCTAAATGACTAAAGTCAAGATGTTTTCAACTCAACCTGACTGAGCTAGATGGAAGATTTGGTAATTAGATATGAAGGGAATGGAGATAAGTCTCTTACTTACCTTCTCCAGATGATACCTTCTACCTGTTTGCAAGCGCTCTTGGGCTGGAGTACAAGGGTGGTTTCAGGGACAGAGAAATTTAGAGGCAGAGAGGGAACCTCTAAGACTAGGAAAGTAAGCGTGGCTGGGCCTAGAGAAGCTGAGTTCCAAATGTAGTTACTGACTTTATATACAGAAGCAATGGGATTGTCAGTCAGTCAGTCTGCCTAGCTAGTCAGTTAGATCATCAGATTAACCACTATCATGTAGTGCTGTGGGAAATCAGAAAACTCTGGGATGGCTGTAAGGATATGTGTGTAAAGATGTCTGTGCAGTGGACATTCAGTGTAGTGACAACTAAAGGAAACCATCTGAATATTTACACTAGAGAAGCAGTTGCATGCAAAATACTATGGAATTAGGGTTTAAAATGATGAGCTCAAGCTTTCTCTATGAAATTGGTGAGATGTTCACAATATAAATAAAAAACATCAAGTAACAGGGCATTATAAATAGAATAGTTGAATTTTTTGCTACAATGAACAAGAAAATAAAATAAAGCTCATCTGAATTGAAAAGAAAGAAGTAAAACTACCTTCGTTACAGATGATATGATCTTATACATAGAAATCCAAAAGAATTTACTTTAAAAAAGCATTACAACTAAAGAATTTTATCACATTGGCAGGATACAAAATCAAAATATAAAAATCAATTGTGTTTCTATACAGTATCAATGAATGAAAAATGAAAAATGAAAATCTTGAAACTATATATAAAAAGTAGCTCAAAATGTATCAAAGACCTAAGTGAAAGAGTTAACATTAGAAAACTCTTAGAAGGAAACAGGCCAGGCACGATGGCTCATGTCTGTAATCCCAGCATTTTGGGAGGCCAAAGTGGGCAGATTGCTTGAGCCCAGGAGTTGGTAGACCAAACTGGGCAGCATGGCAAAACCCTGTCTCTACAAAAAATACAAAATTTAGCCGGGTGTGGTGGCATGCACCTGTAGTTTCACCTACTCAGGAGGCTGAGGTGGGAGAATCACTTGAGCCTGAGGAAGTTGAGGCTGCAATGAACCGTGATTGCACCACTGCACTCCAGCCTGGGTGACAGAGTGAGACTGTGTCTCAAGGAAAAAAAAGGAAAGAAAGTAAGGAAGGAAGGAAGGAAAGAAGGAAGGAAGGGAGGGAGGAAGGAAGGGAGGAAGAGAGGAAGAAGAAAAAAGAAAGAAAGAAAGAAAATAAAACATAGGCATAAATCTTCATGGCTTTGGATTAAGTAAAGGCACCTAATCTTAAATGTGACACCAAAAGCATAAGCAAAAAAAGAAGAAAAAGATAAACTGGACGTCATCGCATTTAAAAACTTTTGTATGTTTACAGATGCCATCAAGAAAGTGAAAAAAAAAAACCCCACAGAATGGGAGAAAATTTTTGCAAATCATACATATGGTAAAAGAGAAAATTTTGTCTATAATATATAAAACCGGTTATAACTCAATAGTAAAAAGGCAAATAATCAAATTTAAAAATAAAGGATTTGGATTTACAGTTCTCCAGTGAAAATATACAAAAGGCCAATAAGCACGTGGAAACATGTTCAACATCATTAACCATCAGGAAAATGCAAATCGGCCCTACAATGCGATAGTATTTCACACTGTGAGACAAAGTAGTAAATGTCAGAAGCTGACTTTTACTTGCCAGCATAATTTCACAAAGTCCCTGTGAGAGTTGCACATCCTCCTAGTTCATCGTGAGGATGTGCAACTCTCTGGAAAGATGCTTTGAGGACAAAACAGGATAAAGCACACAGCCCCCAACGTCTCTTGCCTAAGCCACTATATTCCTTAAAAGATGAATGCCCTTGCTTTTCCCTGCACATAAGATAATGTCTGACGGGCATAGTGATCATGCTTCTGTAATCTACACTGGACGTATTCCTGCTTCCAAACTTTGATGTGATTCTGCTTTAATGTAACTTCTTACCAAGTGTGATGTGATGTTGCAATACAGAACACCTATAATATAAGCAGTGGGCTGAAATACTGAGCTGGTACAGTCTGATAGAGCCTCTCTAAAGGGCTGTTCTTGGGTTGTAGGCCTCCGTCTATAGTCCTCAGTAAGATTTCCAAATAAAACTAAGTTAATTCTTTAAAGTTTGATTTTTTCCCTTAGTTGTAACCACCCACTAGAATGGCTACAATAAAAAGATAATAATGAACACCGATGAGGATGCAGAGAAACTGGAAGCTTCATATACTGCTGGTGGGAATATAAAGAGGTGAAGCCCCTTTAGAAAACAGGCCAGCACTTCCTCAAAATGTCAAACACTAAGTTAGCATATGACCCAGCTATCCCCTCCTAGGTATACAGCATACCCAAGAGAAACAAAAACATCTGTCCACACAAACACCTATACGCAAATGCTTACGGCTGCATTATTAATAATAGCACAAAATAGAAAGAACCCAAATGTCCATCAACTAATAAATGAATAGGCAAATTGTGATATATCCATACAATGAAATATTATTCAGTAATAAAAAAGACGTGAAGTACTGCCACATGCTACAACCCAGACGAACCATGAAAATGTTACGGTAAGTGAAAGAAGCCAGACACGAAAGGCCACATATCGTATAATTTCCCTTACGTGAAATTTCCAGAATAGGCAAATCTGTAGATATGGAACACAGGTTAGTGGCTGCCTAGGGCTAGGGGAGTTGAGAGGAAATGAGGAGTGGCTGCCAATGGGTATGGGGTTTTTTGTGGGGTGATGAAAATGTTCTGGAATTGATAATGATAATGTTGGCACAACTATGTGAATATACTAAAAACCACTGACTTGTATATAATGAATGTGTGAATTTTATGATATGTAAATTATATCTCAAGTTGTTGTAAAATGATTAAACTACAAATAAAATTTGAGGACTTTTGCTAAAAAAAAGCTACAAAGTAAAAACACTCAACACTTAATATAGGTGCCTATGTTTGTATGAAAATGGAGAAAGTAGACACATAGAGAGTAGATTGATAACATAAATTACCTTAGTAAAGTGGGCATAGATTTAGAGATAGAAGATATTTTAAAATATATTTATACATATTGTGATGATTTCATTTCCAACTCTGAGCATGTATTATTTGTACACTAAAATTTTAAAAATAGAAAGTTAAGAATCTTGAAAACTCTTCAGCCAAATAAAAAATAGTAACAAACAAACAGCAATAAAGAGCCATCTGGAATTTCTTCTTGGAGAATTGGCTTAAGCATACACAAGGTAAAAAGAGGACAATGGCTGAAGAATCAAGGCAGGACTATAGCAGTAGGTGAGAAGAAAATGTAAGCGCGGAGCTATAAGACAAGGTAGAGAGAAGATGACAGAGCCAAGAAGTGGACATGAATCCTATAAAACACTCTTGGAGACTCAGAAATGACTGGGTTTATGTAGGAGAGAAACTGCAGCCTAGAGTCCAAGACGGCCAGACACCAGGGACAGGGCATGGAATCAGAAGTGCTTTCCAGTCATTTCTTTTTGTCTCCCTCCATCACCCCCGCAAAGTCGTTGCTTAAATTACAGCCATTGCACCTTGAGATGGTGGTACCATTTGGAGACTTTAAGATAATAGAAAGGTAGGCCGGGCGCGGTGGCTCACGCCTGTAATCCCAGCACTTTGGGAAGCCGAGGCAGGCGGTTCACGAGGTCAGGAGATGGAGACCATCCTGGCTAACACGGTGAAACCCCATCTCTACTAAAAATACAAAAAAAAAAAAAAAAAAAAATTAGCCAGGCATGGTGGCGGGCGCCTGTAGTCCCAGCTACTTGGGAGGCTGAGGCAGGAGAATGGAGTGAACCCAGGAGGTGGAGCTTGCAGTGAGCCGAGATCGCGCCGCTGCACTCCAGCCTGGGCAACAGAGCGACACTCCCCTCAAAAAAAAAAAAAAAAAAAAAAGATAATAGAAAGGTAACTTTTGAGCTCTTCTGAGGTAAGGAAGTGTATTAGTGTAGCTTTTTCCAGGAAAACCACCACACTCTAGTATAACATTTTAGGAATAACGTGTTCAATATAGGAATTAGAGCCTATACTAATGTTGGAAAATCTAGGAGAGCAAATATTGGTGAAGTCATGTTGTAGGCAAAATAAAGGTCTCCCAAGATGCCTATGTCCTAACCCCTGGAACTTGTGAAAATGTCACCTAATATGACAAAAGGAAGTTTTCAGATGTGATTAAGTTGAGGCTCATGAGATGGGAAGATTATCCTGTATTATTCAGGCAGGTCCAATACAATCACAATGGTCGTTATAAGTGAAAAAGGTAGCAGCAGAGTGAGAATTGGAGAGGGAGATGTGACAACAGAATCAGAGGTCAAAGTGATGGGACTGCTGACTTTAGAAGATGGAGGAAGGAACCACGAGCCAAAGAATGCAGGCAGCCTTAAGAAGTGGAGAAGGTGAGGAAACAGATTTTCCCTCAGAGCCGCCATAGGAATGCAGCCCTGATGACCCCTTATTTTAGGCCAGAGAGACCCATATCAGACTTCTGACCTCCAGAACTGTAAGATAATAAATTTGCGTTGTTTTAAGCCACTTCATAGCAGTAATTTGTTACAGCAGAAACAGAATACTAATACCAGTCACCATTGTAGCTCTTGGAGGCTGCAGCTGGGAGGTCAGGGAAGCATGTGCTGAAGAACTTAGCCTGAAGCACAGGTGGGAGGTTCCTAGAACCCTGCTGGGAGATTGCTGTCATTCTCCAGAACCTCTGAGAAAGCTCCCACCATTCATCTCGGTCTGCACAGGCAAAGCAGATGGGTCTTTGGCCTAGCACAGAAGCCACTGAGAACCTGACATCTGCCTACTCTTCTGCCTGCAGCCACGACTGATGGGTAGAGGCCTGTCTCTCCATCTCTTCTGGGCACCATATCTCATGCAAGTTTCTCTGATTGGAAAATGTGAATCGGAACTACACAGGGAAGGGGATTCTGGGAGACATACTCCTTGCTTCTCGGCAGAGAAGGTGGCTGCTGATTTGATAAGACACAATCCTGCACATTAGTTAATGATGGCAAGTGTAGATGGGCTTGTTGACCCCTGATTGACAAAGCAAAGATTCCACAGCTGATGTAAACTAGTGATGTGTTTAAGAGACTTGTTTAAACTCAGCAAATATTAAGTGTGATGTGTCATGGATTATGAAAAGAGTAAACTCATGGTTTGTGCTATTTACCTCAGTATTACTGAAGAAGGATCCTAGAAGCCCACTGATCCAGCTAGACCTTTATGTTTTTTTAACTTTTATTTTAAGTTCAGGGGTCCGTGTGCAGGTTTGTTATATAGGTAAACTTGTATCATGGGGATTTATTGTATACATTATTTCATTACTCAAGTATTAAGCCTAGTACCCATTAGTTATTTTTCCTAATCCTTGCCCTCCTCCCAGCCTCCAATAGGCCCCAGTCTCTGTTGTTCCCCTCTTTGTGTCCATGTGTTATAATCTAACTTCCACTTATAAGTGAGAATATGTGGTATTTGGTTTTCCATTCCTGCCTTAGTTTTCTAAGGATAATGACCTCCAGCTCCATTCATGTTCCTGCAAAGGACATGATGTTGTTCTTTTTTATGGCTGCATAATATTCCATGATGTATATGTACCACATTTTCTTTATCTAGTCTACCATTGGTAGGCATTTAGGTTGATTCCACGTCTTTGCTGTTGTGAATAGTGCTGCAATGAACATACACATGTATATGTCTTTATAACAGAATGATTTCTATTCCTTTGGGTATATACCCAGTAATGGGATTGCTGGGCTGAATGGTATTTCTGTTTTTAGGTCTTTGAGGAATTGCCACACTGTATTCCACAATGGTTAAACTAATTTACACTCCCACCAACAGTGTATAAGCGTTCCTTTTTCTCAGCAACCTGGCCAGCACCTGTTATTTTTTGACTTTTTAATAATAACCATTATGACTGGTGTGAGATGGTATTTCATTGTGGTTTTGATTTGCATTTCTAATAATCAATGATGAGCTTTTTTCATATGATTGTTGGTTGTATGTATTTCTTCTTTTGAGAAGTGTCTGTTCATTTCCTTTGCCCACTTGTTAATGGGGTTGTTTCTTGTAAATTTCTTTAAGTTCCTTATAGATGCTGGATATTAGATCTCTGTCAGATGCATAGTTTGCAAAACTTTTCTCCCATTGGGTAGGTTGTCTATTTACTCTGTTGCTAGTTTTCTTTGCTGTGCAGAAGCTCTTTAGATTAACTAGATCCCATTTGTCAATTTTTGCTTTTGTTGTCATTGCTTTTGGTGTCCTCATCATGAAATCTCTTCCCATTCCTATGTCCTGAATGGTATTGCCTATGTTGTCTTCTAGAGTTTTTATAGTTTTGGGTTTTACATTTAAGTCTTTAATCTATCTTGAGTTAATTTTTGTATATGGTGTAAGGAAGGGGGCCCCGTTTCAATCTTTGCATATGACTAGCCAGTTATCCTAGCACCATTTATTGAATAAGGAATTCTTTCCCCATTGCTTGTTTTTGTCAAGTTTGTCAAACATAAAATAGCTGTAGGTGTGCAGCCTCATTTCTGAGTTCTCTTTCTGTTCCATTGGTCTATGTGTCTGTTTATGTACCAATACCATGCTGTTTTGGTTATTGTAGCACTGCAGTATAGTTTGAAGTCAGATAGCATAATGCCTCCAGCTTTGTTCTTTTTGCTTAGGATGGCCTTAGCTATTTTTGGTTCCATATGAATTTTAGAATAGTTTTTTCTTTTTCTTTTTATTTGTTTATTTATTATTATTATTTTAGATGGAGTCTTGCTGTGTCACCAGGCTGGAGTGCAGTGGCATGATCTGGGCTCACTGTAAACTCCACCTCCCAGGTTCAAGCAATTCTTATGCCTCAGCCTCCCAAGTAGCTGAGATTACAGGCATGTGTCACCACACCTGGGTAATTTTATTTTTATTTTTTGTATTTTTAGTAGAGACTGGGTTTCACCATGTTGGCCAGGCTGGTCTCGAACTCCTGACCTCAAGTGATCTGCCCGCCTCGGCCTCCCAAAGTGCTGGGATTACAGACATGAGCCACCAAGCCTGACCTTAAAATAGTTTTTTTCTAGAACTACATATTTAAATTGGAAAAGATGTGTTGTATTCTCTGAATCCTAGTGGCTCACAGGAGCTGTCTAGAATAGCCTGACTATAGCAATTCCTAGTTAAGCCAGAAGTTTGAAATGAGTTCAAAGTGTAGGGATAAAATTCCAGTGAGAGGCAGAAAACTGGAAAGTTAATGCTTTTCCATGTTAATCAATCAAGTCCATCAATTGTTTATATGTGTAGCTTTCTCTCTTAATTTGAATAATTTCTTAGAGATGAGTATCACTGTGAAGTGTGGGGTGGCTATGAAAGTATAAGATTGCTTCTAGCAACTCACACAGTCACTCATGGATGCTCGGCCCAAGACCCTGATAGCCACGGTTCCACTCCAAGGGAAAAGAGGCCATCTGAGGAGCAAATAGAACTCTATCACAAGATGAGTGCAGGAAACACCCCAAACACAGTCCCTAAGGTCGATGCAGAAACAGCGTAAGAAGAAAGTGTCCAGATATCCAGAATCCTATGAGGTAGGGATTCAGAACTCTCAAAGGCCACCCTCTTACATCTGTCAATAGGTCAAGGTTTCTGTGGATGTGTGTGGCTGTGGCTGACAGGGACCCCAGTGATCCCTATGAGGTTAGACGTAGCTTAAGAGAGAATAAGGGGCACGCACATGCACACACACACACACACACGCACACACACACGCACACACACACAGAGTCAAGGGCAGCCCTTCAAAGCTTCCCATCATCTTCCTCTGTCCATATTTCATTCTCCATCAGCTCACTTTCCATTTTTTCCTTTTTAAGCAATAACAAATTAGTTATATGATGCTGGCTGGTGTGGTGACTTACATTTGTAATCCTAGCATTTTGGAAGGCAGAGGCATGGAAATGGCTTAAGCCCGAGAGTTTGACAGCTGTGTGATTCTAGACAGAGTCCTTCACTTCTCTGTGTCTCCATTTTCTCATCCATTTTATGTGAATCACTATTTCAACAAACAGGGATCAAACGTAGACTGTTTGAGGGAAAAGTAAGTAAGCCAGTGTAGCTGTCTTCATTGATCCTGGTGTCCAGTAGGGGAGATGGACACCTTTTTTAGTGTCATACCTAATGTTACACATTTTAAAAGTAAATTTTTTTTAAATTTGTATGTGTTGTCTCTTGAACTCTCACTATGGAGAGACACTCTCAGTGTGCATTGTTACTGTAAGAATCCCTATTTTTCATCTATCCAACAAATACAGCTTGAAGGCCCAGAATATGCCAGCTTCTGTGCTCCTCCTTGAAAATAGAACAGTGAGGAGCATAAACATAGGCATTTATGTTCTGAAGTTACAGTGTAGTGAGAAAGAAATACATGAGCCAGATGAATAGAAGCTACTACAAAAAGTGCTTTGAGAAGGAAGGAAAGGATCTGTGAGAAAAGAAAGGAGGAAGAGCAAAGCCAGTTTCAGGAAAGCAGGCTAAACTTCCAACAGGAATCCAAGTATAAAAAAAAAAAAAAAAAAGCAGGAATTAGGCAGACCCAAGCAAAGGGAACACCTAGTCCGACCAAAAAATGAAAGGCTTTGCAGCATGTTTGTGAAACTGTAAGCAGAATCACTGGCTAGTGCAAGAGGAGAGAGAGAGAAAATTGGAAAAGTGTGCAAGGTCCTGTTCACACAGGGTTGGGAAAATTGGTTAAGAATTTGGGTGTTATCCTGAGGTTAATAGTGAGTCATTAAAATATTTTAAGTAAGAAAGAAACAAAAGTGGATTTTTGTTTCAGCAGGATTCCTGCAATTGTAGGGCACTGACCCAAGTCTTGCTTGGGTCAGAGCAAGACTGGAGGCAATAAAATGAGTTGGGAGATTTTGAAGAACTCTGAACAACAGAAAGAGTGACAAGATCTAGGGCTGTGGAGACTACGCTGGGATCCAGGAGGACAGGCACTAGAGATGGTGCAGCTACAAAGGCTCGGGGGCAGGGTCGGGAAAGCCTGAAGCTCCCACTTGTGGAGCAGAGGAGAGGTCTAACACCTGCACACCCCAGTGAAGGGGCAGAATGGGAGTGAACAAGGGAGCCCCTGGGCTGGGATTTTCCATGTTTCTGGCACTAGGACGGGGTGGGCAACACAGTGTGGAGCCCAGAGTAGAGTAGAATTGCAGGTTGTCACTCAACAAGATGTGCAGCAGCTAAAGGTTGTGGGAGTCATGTAGGGGAAGGTAAATCCAAAGTAGCTAGAAGATGCACAAGACAATAACCCCTGGCTCAGAACCTCTGCACACTTGCAGGCATTTGGTCTACTCTGTAATTGATTTGCCACTGGGAACCTGCTAGCTCCCCCACTCCTTTCTCGTGATCCTTTCTATGATCTGGCTCTTTGGTCCTCCTGTTGAACCTCCCTCCCATGCACAGTTGCTGGATGACGTCTCTTGGTGCCTCCATAATTGCTCACTAATGTGTGGTGTCCTTTCATTCCCAGGCTAGAAGGGCCTAAATATGAAAAAAATCCTGAAGAGACCAGGCTCCTTTCCTCCATCCTTTCTCCTTAGGAAAGCAGGAGGAGATGAGACACTTCAAAATCCTGGAGGTACAACCACTGGGACATGTGATGTGATCCCAGAAACTTGAGAGAAAGGAAGGGGTCTCAGGACGGGGTGTGTGTGTGTGTGTGTGTGTGACACTAGAGAGTTTGGGACAGGACTATGTCCTCTGTGCAGAAACAGCTGAAAACCTGGAGTTGAGAATTTCTACTGAAGGTCCCAGAAACACCCTGAGAAGAACAGGAAAATGGGAAGAGACAATCATAGTGACTGGCAAGTGAAGGATAAATAGCCAGGAGACATTTTTTTAGGTTTTCATAATTTACTTTACAAAATCATTGATAATGCATCAATGATAGATCCAAAAATATTTATTTAATCTCCTCTAGAGACAGTGATAGACTGTGACAATATAATGCTCAGAGAGACTTGGATTTAATTATAATCCAATTCTAATTGTGATTGTGACCACAGAGAGCCTGGAAGCAGTCTGTACTGGACCACATATACTGATTTATAATTCAGCTTTATGCTGGTTTCCACAGTTCTCACCACAGCTGCCACTGTGTCCCTCAATACTGAAGGGCATGTCCTGGCCAGGTTTTTCTGGCATTGAACAGGTACTGGCTACTTCTGGGTTCCCCTCACTTGCCTGCCACCTCCTGGTCTCCCTGAGTCACTGACAACTATGACCTGTAGATGCCACTCTGTGGAGCCCAAGATCAAAAGACACTGTGAAGACTACAAAAGGGAAAAGGCCAGCACTTTGGGAGGGTGAGGAGGGTGGATCAGGAGGTCAGGAGATCGAGACCATCCTGGCCAGCATGGTGAAACCCCGTCTCCACTAAAAATACAAAATTAGATGGGCTACTCAGGAGGCTGAGGCAGAAGAATCACTTGAACCTGGGAGGCAGAGGTTGCAGTGAGCCAAGATCATGCCACTGCACTCCAGCCTGGCAACAGAGCAAGACTTTGTATAAAAAAAAAAAAAAAAGAGAGAGAGAGTGAGAGAAAGAAGTTCATGTCGCCTGGACTAGCTCCATCCAGCAGTGCAAGGGAAAGATGCCGTGTTGACCAAATGTGCTGCTGATTTTCTGAATGTTGAGTGAGGATGGATCCACAATGGAGTCACAGTGGATTCTTCCTAACACCCAAACCCACAGAGAAAATGACTTCATAATCAGTGACTTCAGCAAACGCAGACCCTGGGAAGTCATGGTTTCTCATACACCATCATTTCTTTGTAGCAACTTCACATCTGGTTCTATCAAGAGGAATCCTTGTGGGTTAGGTGCCTTTGGAAAGATGTTTGTGTACTTCAGAGGATGGGAAATCTATTTTAAAGTACACTTCAAAGCCCTGACTTTATAAGGTTCTTAAGTATTGCCGGTTCCCAAACATTGCCAGTTGATACATAGAAATCTAGATATTAGATTCAGCTTTATCCTCTGGATATAACATGACAATTGTTAAAACTTTTCTCGCTTCCAACAATGATGCATAAAATGATGACATACCAAAGCAAAGCCTTGAGCAATCTTGAGAGAATCCCAGGGGCATATTTTACTCTGTTGAACATGTAGTCTGACATTGAGGGACCAATGTTGAGTGCCGTTCAAGAAAGTTTGGTGGGGATCCATCCGTTTCCTTAGTGAGCAATGTTTCCTCAGTTGAATGTGATCAGTTTTCCTATGTAGAAACTAGAGAACATTACCTAATCCCTGGTTTCCATAACAACCATTGAGCACCACCAGCACTGGGGGTGACACTGACAGGTCCTCACAGGACAAGTACTGTTGCCCCAAGTAAGGGCCTGCAGTGGAAGGGATGCAGAGCTTTAGCAGCAGGAACCTGAAACCTGAAACCTCACCACCAGGCACAGCATATAATCTGCCACTTCATGAGAAGTTTAACTTAATCATTGATCCACAATTGTGACACACTTTTAACCAAAGCCTAAAGGGAAATGAAGGCCTCATTACAGGTTCAACACAGTTTACAAACATCAGCCACAAAGACCCAGACTTATCTTAGGGATTGCTTTTGGCCTGGCGGGATTGAAGATGGGGATGCATTGGAGCTCTGCAGAGAACAATATGACCCTCTGTCACCCTGAAGGAAACAGAAGTTCCATACCAGGCATCATAGAATCTGATTTTGCCCACACATACTGCAGGCTCCTGAAGGAGAAAGTTCTCACCGGTACAAACCCTAAAAGTTAGTTTTCAGGAACAAATAGCTCTGTTTACTACAGTGAAATTTTTGAATCAAAAAGCAAATTTATAATGTCTAATAACAACATAAGTGGGTAGTAGGATCTTTGGAAGTTTTGGAATACTGTAGCACAGCGATGTTTCTGTTTTTTTAAAACAAAGTTATTTAATTTGTATAATGTTTCACAAATACTTAAAATAATACAAAATTACATTTTGAGCTTTGCATTGTCTTGTTAACATATGGTGATGCAGATAGAACGCAATTTATACTTTTAGATACAAATAATTGATTTTGAATTCAAGGAACTTGTTTGAATCAAGTACTTCTTTGGCATTTAATGAGTTTCTTGCAAACAGGTATCAACTTTTAAATTTGAGATACATAATTTTGCCTTACAACCATCCAATTAATTGCTTTTTAAACATTAGATTGTGATAGTTGTATTAGTTTCCTGTGGTTGCTGCAACAAATTGCCATAAACTTGATGGTTTAAAACAACAGAAATCTATCTTCTCACAACCTTGGAGGCCAGGAGCCCCAAATCAAGATCTCAGTAGGGCTATGCCCCTTCCAGAGGATCTAGGGGAGAATCAGTTCCTTGCATCTGTCATATTCTGGTGGCTGCAGGCATTCCTTGGCTTGTGGCTGCATCACTCCAATCTCTGCCTCTGTCTTCACATCACCTTCTCCTCTGTGTGTCTGTGAACCTCAAATTCCCTATGGGTACTGGGCTTAATACTTGGGTGATGAAATAATTTGTACAACAAACCCCTGTGACACAGGTTCACCTATGTAACAAACCTTCAACGTGTACCCTCAAACCTAAAATAAAAGTTTTTAAAAATTCCCTCTCCTTGTCTTTTATAAAAATACATGTCATTGCATTTAGGGCTCACCCAGATACTCCAGGCTAGCTCATCCTCTCAACATTCTTAAATTAATCATATCTTTTGCCATACAAAGTAATATTCACTCTTTTGTCATATAAAGTAATAGTTACATGTTCCAAGGATTTGACATGGATATCCTTGGAAGGGTTGTCTTCCAGACTACCAAAGTAGTACATTAGTTTCCTATGGCTGTTATAACAAATTACCACAAATTTGGTGACTTAATATAAAACATATGTATTCACTTACCGCTCTTGAAATCAGCAAATTAAAATAATTTTGAGTGGACTTCAGTTCACTCAAAATTACTTTCAGTGGACTAAAATCAAGATGTCAGATGGGCTGGTTCCTTCTGTAGGCTCTAGGGGAGAACCCATTCCCCAATCCTGTCCAGCTTCTAAGGCTGTTTATGTTACTTGGCTTGTAAGCCCTTCCTCCACCTTCAAAATGAATCACTTCAGTCTCTCCTGGCATCATCACATTCCCTTCTCCTCTGACTCTGACACTTCCTGCCTCCTCTGATAAGGACCACTGTGATTATATTGGGCCCACCCAGCAAATCCAAGATAATCTCTCTCAAGATTCTTAATCACATTTACAAAGTCCTTTTTCCCAAATAAGGCAACACTCACAGTTTCTGGGGATTAGGATGAGATTAGGGACGATTAACGAGATTACTCAGGTAGTAATTTGTGAGTAAAATTATTATAGAGAGGCAAATTATTTATATCTTATAGTTTGCAGAGCAATGTTGTTTACTGTGACTTTGGCATGTATTTTTAGCAATTAAAATGCTTTAAGGATTTATACCACATATTGATGGCTTTTGATTCTTTTGTATTCAAGACTATGCACATTTGGGGCTGTGTTTTCTAGAAACATACACAGTAACAGTATCTGAGCAGAACTTAGAAATACTGTATTACTATGAGAAAGTACATTTCGTTAATCTAACACACATTATGATTTATATTTGGCTCACAAGTTGATATGCCTTCTCAGATTTTTTCAGCTGTTTCCTTCTTTCTCTTTCTAAGTCGGTGCTCTACCTGGACTGGGTCAACTTGCCTCTTCAGGACTAGAAGAAACACCATGTTGCAAGGCATGGTATAGAAATACAACTGACTGCTACATATTGATTTTGTATCCTGCAACTTTGCTGAATTTGTTTATTAGTGCTCTCTCTCTCTCTTCCTCTGTGTGTGTGTGTGTGTGTGTGTGTGTGTGTGTGTGTAATCCTTAGGGTTTTCTGCATATATGATCATGCTGTCTTCTAACAAAGATAATTCTACTTCTTCCTTTCCATTTTGGGTGTTTTACTTTATTTTTCTTGCCTAGTTACTCTGGCTAGAACTTCCAATACTAAGTTGAACAGATGTGGTGAATAGGTATATTTGTCTTGTTTCTGATGGTAGAGAAAAAGCCTTCCTCATTCTTTCTCCTTGAATATGATGTTAGTGATGGGCTGCTCATATATCGCCTTTATTGTGTTGAGGTAGTTTCCTTCTATTCCTAGGTTGTTGAATGTTTTTATCAGAAAGGGTGTTGAATTCTGTTAAATGCTTTTCTGTGTCAATCGAGATGATTATGTGGACCATGAAAGTTTTGAAGTAGGAGAGAGACAGATGACATTTTCCTTTACAAAGACCTCTCTGGTTGCAGGCAGTCTTTGGAGGAGAACAAGACTGAAGGCAAAGAAATGTGTTGGGAAATTTTGGCAGAAATCCCAGGGACAGGCAATGATGATCTGAGCTGGGGAAGTGGCCACACACTACGATTCGCACCCCAGACAAGAGCAGAAGCCTGAGATGGAGTAGCTCCATAGGCCTAGGTGGGAGAGAAGGCTGAACCAGAGACCAGAAGCGTGCTGAGCTGAGTACTAAGCCCGCTGCTGCAGGTCAGTTAGAGGTCCAGAGGGAAAGGAGCTGTGGGTCTCCCGGCTTGGGGCACTGTCACGCAAACTAGGTTTGCGGGGATTAAGCTCTAAGTATTCGTGCACTTGGAAGGAGCGACAGCAGATGGGGAGCGCTGAGCGAGGACAGGGATGTGCAGTCTGCAGAGAGAACAGGAGCCGCCCTCGGTCGGCTAGAGGGCTGCAGTGCAGTGCCAAAGGAGGGACTCTGGAAGAGCAAAGCTGAGATCTGCAGTGAAAGTGACAGCAGAAGAACTTGAGGAAAAATACATTTCTCTGCTTTTTCGACTGTATTTGGTCTCTCTTTTCTAGCACTGGAGCCCATCTTCCTCTTTTCTTCCTTCTGGCCCTTTCTTCAATTGGACCATGTTTTCCTCCTATTGAAACACCCTCCTATTGTGACACTGCAAACCTCCAATAAATCGCCAACACTGTCCCTTGAGTCTCCAGAGTGTCTCACTCTTTCCAGACACGCTGGTGATTATTCATCTGCTTCATCTGCCTCCTTCCTGAGCTATGGCTCCAGGTGGAAGTGGTCAGCCTTCCTACATAGAACCTAGACACACATTACCCAATCCATGGCCCATAGCAAACTTCCAGAGCTCAGCAGCAGCAGCTGCTGGGTAGGAGGCCCCCGCCAACACCCAGCACCAGCAGCCCCCACTAGAGTTTTACTGCACCATATAAAGGACATGGAGTGAGAAGAGTAAACAATGTCTTGCAATAGGTAACTGAAACCCCACAGATTACCCACAATGTGTAGCCCTGCTCCACAAAAGCCACGATGAACTGAAAGTAGAGAATCCTGAATTTGGGGCACAGTTGCAGAATTCCGATATTCTCTCAGCCCTGACACACTTTAGTGGATTTCACTGCCCTTAGCCACAGGAGCCTCTAAGCTCATCTTAGGGTTTACTCCTGGTCAGAGATTAGGTGGGAGTGAGGGGTGGATTGGGAAGCAGTGAAGGCTCTACAGGGTGACGTATCTAAGTATGCAATTGCCAAAAGCATAAGTCTCTCATCAGGCACCACAGAAACAGTTTTTTCAGCCAGTGCTGCAGACTCCTGCTAGACAGGGTGAATCCACATCACCTACAAAATTCACGAGTCAGTTTTGCACACTGGGCCGTTGAACTCTGAAGCAAACTGGGAAGTTCTAAAAGCAATAGGAATTGGGGTTACTTAGTAATTAAGATATAGCAACTTATTCCTGGAAAAAAAGTATTTTCTATAATAGTTCTTAAATCATTAAAACGTCTGCTAAATTTTGAGTTTTGATACATTCCCTGCTTAAAGTGAACACAATAAATTCTAAACTGAAATGCAGCAAGTGGGGTTTTTGTTTTGTTGTGTGGTGAGAAGAAATGCTGTTTTACTCGAGGTGGTTGTTTCAACGACGCACTTCTCTCCTGCATTAATTTAAAAAAAATTACAAACAAATCTCAAACTTCACATGAGGATAAATAGGGTTTCTTCTACAGCTCTCCAGTTTGTTTTTAAATATAATATTTTAAGTATGTAATTTATCGGAGTAAAATTTATTAGAATAATTCATTAGAAGCCACTTGTTTAGCTCCATATTTGTTCAGCAATGTTGCATATTGGGACATTGGAATATTTTTTGTGTAAGCAAAAATCCTTTATATTTATACGTGTATCGACAGCTTCCACTTTATTTGTGTACTACATAGCGTGTGATTTTTGACTCTGCTTTGTAGAAAAACACATTTCAACAGAATATCTCCAGCTGATTTTATAGTTTCTTACAGCATTTTTGAAAAATATCACTCTGCAAACGTGCTGCCTCAGTACTGTCCTTGAAAACAGTCGAAAATCTTAATTTAGTTATTTTTTTTTCAATTTTTTCAATTTTTTCAATTACACTGAAAACTCGCATTGTACTATGTCTCAGCACTCCCAGATTTACTCAGTGTTTGCTGAAGGAGGTTTGCATCCTGCTGGGAAGACGCATTTGGCAAGGCTTTTCCTCTTCTTCAGGAGATCGGCTAAGATGCAGTTTGATTTGTAGTTCGGTACTATTGCTTTCACGGAAAGTGTCACGCAAGCTTCATTTCCTTTTATGGCCTATATATATGCAGAACTGCGCTGAGTGTACCAGTTATTCTCCTTACATGGATAATAAATAAATTTTAAATTGTAAAAGATAAAGGTTGAGACTGGAATGGCGCTTGATGAGCTTTGGCACACCCTGTGGGGGCGGTCAACTTTGGGGATCCCAGGACACGTAGCACTAAGGACCGCTCCAATCGACAGAGGGGCGTCCAGCCGTCGGGGGCGGGCGGAAAGGAAGGCACAGCGGAGTGGAACCGCGCAGCGCACGCCACAAGCACCAGGATTTCATTTCACTGGGGCAGCGCGTGGGGTCCCGACGGGAGGGATGCGGGGTCAGCGCTTCTGCCTAGATAACGCGACGCGGGGACCTTGGGGAGACAGGTCTGTGATAACTCGACCCTGGACCACACCCTATGGCGGATTTGGTAGGTAACCTCGGTGAAGGGGGGAGTCTTCCAAAGAAGGAATGCAGGAGCTGCGTCTTCCAAAGAAGGAATGGAGGAGCGGCAGGAACACAGAGGAAGGCGGAGGGGCGAGGAGGAGGTTTCTTTCTGGGGCTCTATTTGGTAGGTTGATTGGTTTTCTCTGGGCTACAGCCCCCTCTAGCGTTTCTTATGCGCTAGGACTTCTGCCTTCTTTCATAGGTCAGTAAGGGTTTTTTTCTATTTCTAATATTTGTGGAAAATTTTCACCACTGGACTCATCCTTCTTTACAATTTGGATTTCAGTTCCCCTAATAACGTTTTAACAATATCTTAAGAGTCAAGGAGGAAAGATTTTGTGCCCAGTTGGCCACCTTGAAGGCAGAGGCGTCTGTCATGGTCTTTCTTTTTCTCTTTTTTCTTGAGAAAGGGTCTCGCTCTGTCGCCCAGGCTGTGGTGCAGTGGCGCCATCTCGGCTCACTGCAATCTCTGCCTCCCGGGTTCAAGCGATTCTCCCACCTCAGCCTCTCAGGTAACTGGGACTACAGGTATGCGCCACCACGCCCGGCTGATTTTTGTGTTTTTAGTAGAGACGGGGTTTCATCATGTTGGCCAGGCTAGTCTCGAACTCCTGACCTCAAGTGATCCGGCCTCCTTGGCCTTCCAAAGTGCTGGGATTACAGGCACAAACCACCGCACCCGGCCACTCATAGTCTTTTAGTAGGAGTATATTTAAGGGGCAGTCTTTGCATAATAATAGGAGAATTGAAGTTTTAAAGTCAGATAAGTTGTGCGAGAGTCTCAACTAGTCCGCTGTCCAGTCATGAGATCTTAGACACGTCATGTAAATTATCTAAGCATTAATTAACTTATGTATAAAATGGATGTAATCATGTTACCATCCACACTGGGGTTTTAGGAAGGACCGATGTAATAAAGGGAGGGCTTTATTAATAACCTTCTCTTTATCTCACTAATCATTGCTAATTTCTGCTGTTTCCTAGGTGTCTCAAAACTAAACTCATGCCTCTGGCAGTTATTTGTGGAGCAAATATTATGTGCCAGGCAATGTTCAAGTGCTGAGAAAAATATAAGGCATAAAACACATAGTTACAAAACATAGCTATCAGACAGAGCCCCTGCTTTCCAGGAACCCACAGTTGTAAAGAGGAGACAATAAATGCAATGACCTTGCAGTGTGATAAGAGCTAACACAGCAATTTATGCAGGTGTTGTGGGTATTACAGGGGAGGAAGCCTGCCTGGAGCATCAGGCTCAGAGGATCTGTGTAGAGCAGGGATTCTCAACCTCAGCGTTACAGTGAGTACTTGATGTTTCAGGCCACATAACTCTTTATTGTGGAGGTTGTCCTGTAAATTGTAGGATGTTTAGCAACATTCCTAGCCTCTACCCACTAGATGCCTGTAACACCAACACCTTCCTGATTGTGACAACATCAAAATATATCCAGACATTGCCACATGTCCTGAGGGAAGGGGGTTCACTTGAGAACTGATGTGTAGAAGATAGCTGAGACATCACTCAGAGTTGGATTTCCCAGAGGCATCTTTATTTGGCAGAATGACAGATTAGTTTTTCTTATTTTTAAAGACGGGATTTCACTCTGTTGCCCAGGCTGGAGTGCAGTGGCGAGATCATAGCTCACTGTAACCTGGAACTCCTGGGCTCAAGCGATCCTCCTGCCTCAGCCTCCCAAGTAGCTGGGACTATGCATGTCACTAGGCCCGGCTGATTTTTTTTTTAATTTTTATAGAGATAGCGCCTCAATATGTTGCCCAGATTGGTTCTAAACTCCTGGCCTCAAGCGATTCTTTAGCCTCAGCCCCCCAAAGTGCTAGGATTATAGACACACATGGCCCAAGTTAGTTTTTAATTTAGTTTTTTGTTTATATTAATATATAATTGGTTCCTTTGTTATTTTAATGTATTAGAAAAATACTAGTTTTAAATTGAAAGTAGAGATACAATTCTTTTCTTTAAATATATTTGGGCAAAAGTGATACTGCAGAAAACAGTGAATGAAAGAAGATAAAAACAATAGCATCCAACCACATACAAGTCCTGACAATTTTGTAACTATCATGCTATTTCACTCTCCACTGCAAACTCAGCCTCCTGTTGTACTTGTTTGGATTAGGACCTGGAGAGTGCAGAGTTTGGGGCAGGGTGCAGGCAGAGCAGTTCAAGGCAAACCTTCCCTCCAGGGCAGGGCCCCCTACTCCTGCTTAGAAATACCCAGCATTCCAAAGAGAATGTTCCCCTTCTTCTCCCTAGGCCTTGATCTCTCCTTGGTTTCAGGCAAAGGACTTCAAGACTGAGGAATTCTTACAAGTTTTCCTTAGGCTGCACTGCCCTTGAGCTCTGAAGCAAAATTACGTTTGATGCCCAAGAACATAGGAGGTGAGAGTGAAGGGAAGAGGTGGGTGCAGCTGCTTTTACCAGAGAGTTGGCGGTGCTAAAAGCCTGAGCTGGGGAGCTCGCTGCCATCTCTGCCTAGGAGTCCTCTGTCTCAGGAGCTTTAATCTTCCTAAAACATGATTGGCTCACTCACTGCACACGTTTTCAGTCCATCTGCCCCTGACCCACATCCTTGCCTAGGTCCCCCTTGAAGCACAGCAAGGACAATTTGGGTCAGAGAAGTTAAGCCTCATTTGTTTTAGGAAATGAAAAAATAGACATATCAGGATGGGTCAATCCATTTGTTAAGTAGAGATGGGACCGTTTGGGATACAATACCCATAAATCACATTTGTGCAGTTCTTGATTTTTTTTTTTTTACATTAGGCTGGAATAAGACTACAAAATTTCTCAATTTTTTTATAAAGGTGTTTCCCACCCACTGGAGCCTGACCACTTGAAAGAGTTACTTCTGTACACATTTACATAAATCATTATTAGGGCCCTATAACAGAAACACACACACACACACATACACAGAAACCGTTATTTATCAGGTGATCAAAACCCAAAGATTTGATGATGCCTTATTGTGCTGGTGAAGGTAAGGTAATCAGACACTATTTTGTGTCTTGTTTTGTATGGGGAGTAAATTGATGTAATTTCTGTGAAAGGCAACTGGTATTTTCCATCAAAATTTAACTGCAAAAGTATTTGATCTGGCAACTTAACCTTTAGAAATTTATCATGTGGATAAAGACCCAGGTGTAAAATAAAATGTGAGCAAAAAGCTTAAGCATAGTACTCTTTTCACTTCACTTTAAAGTCGTTTTTATCGTGAACAATAACATGACATAAATGCAAAAAAGTACAGCTAAATGAAGCATACATGCAATGTACCTACTATCTTACTTGAGAAATTAAACGTTGCTGGCAGCCCAGGTGCCTCTACTCCAGCAATCACATCCCCTCCCAATTGGCTACTACCCTGAATTTTCAGGCGATGTTTTCTTGCTTTATTTTCAAAGTTTTCCCACCTAAGAAGAAATCACTAAATAATAAATTATATGTCTGTATGTATATTCATATTTTATTGTTTTTGAACAGTACATAAATGGAATCATACAATATGTGTTCTTTTGTATCTGGAGTTTTGCTGAATAGTATGTTTTTTTTGGTTTGATTTTTTTCTTTTTTTTTTTTTGTTTTGAGACAGTTCGCTCTTGTTGCCCAGGCTGGAGAGCAATGGCGTGATCTCGGCTCACTGCAACCTCTGCCTCCCGGGTTCAAGCGATTCTCCTGCCTCAGCCTCCTGAGTAGCTAGGATTACAGGCATGTGCCACCAAGCCAGGCTAATTTTGTATTTTTAGTAGAGATGGGGTTTCTCCATGTTAGTCAGGTGGGTCTCGAACTCCTGACCTCAGGTGATCCACCAGCCTCAGCTTCCCAAAGTGTTGGGATTACAGGCGTGAGGCACCACACCCAGCCACTGAATAGTATGTTTTGAAGACTCATCCATGCTGGATGTATAGCCATACCTAAGCTTTACATATTGTTTATGGGCAGAACATTTGAAAGAAGGTAAATACTCAACAGGGAGCAGACTAAATAAATTATGGTATACCCACACAATAGAATATTATGCAGTGATGAAAAATAATGAAGCTGATGTTAGATACTAAAATGGTAAGAGCACTAAGTTTTTTTGCTAAATAAAAAGCAGTATATGACCCATAGAATAGTATTCTACCATTTGTATGAAAGAAAAATTTAAATCAATACCAACTTGTTTATATATATTTACAAAAATATCCAGAATATTTTTACCGTATTCTCCTCTGGAAGATAAAATGGGTAGCTGGAAAATTAATTCCCCTATCTATTTGCATACTTTCTGAATTTCCTGCTACTTGCATGTATTACCTATTGAAAATGAGGCTAGAGAGTGAAACAAAATATTGCCCAGTCGCACAGCTGGCCAATGTCAGAGCCTGGACTCAGCCTGTCCCAGTTATAGGGATTTTAGGCCAGATCTCTTTCTACAACTGTAAAGCCAAGAAGGAATGAATCAACAATTAGCTTTATACTCCATAACCTGGGAAAGCCTAAAAGCATACTCCAACTGAGCCTGAATGTTGGTTTGTTCATTTTCCCCACAGTTCCTCTTCAAGAGACAGTTTCAATCCCACAGTTCTGGTTAAATTCCACTGGGCTGAAACGGGTAATTTCAGAATGACCCACCACAAAGCAGGACACATCCCTAAATGACAGGCTTTGGTCAGGATGGCACAATAAGTTCATGCTTAGGCAAAGACTCTCTGCCCCAAATTACATGGCAATAAGAAAAATGTAAAAAGAGAAAAGTTATAGTTGAGTTAAGGACAAGAGAAACACCACTCTCCATGAAGAATGGGTCATCAACAGAAAGCAAAGGCAGTGGGAAGGGCTGATGCTTCCAGCATGCTGTTTGTCAGGAGACTGGCTGAAGGCAGGCTCTCTCCTGAAAGAAATTGCCACTGACCACTGCTTGCAGCTGAGGCTTCATAAGAAGCTCCAGGCCCAGGCAGATGGGAGGACTCAAGTGCAGCTTGGAGAGGAGGCATTCACTGAAGCCTTAGAGAACCAGCAGATTACTTCACACAATCTGTAGAAATCAACTCAAAATGTATTAAAGGCACAAATGTACCAGGTAAAACTCTAAAAGAATTCTTTTCCATTACAAGAAAACAAACAAACAAACAAACAAAACAACCAAAACCTTAGGTCTTAGTCAGCCATGGCTGCTATAACAAATACCACAGACTGGGTGGCTTATACAACAGACATTTATCTCTCACAGTTTTGGAGGTGACAGCAGATTCAGTTCCAGTGAGGATCCTCTTCCTGGCATACAGATGACTGCCTTCTTTCGGTGTCCTCACAAGGTAGGGAAAGAGAGCTCCAATCTCCCTCTTCTTAAAAGAGCACTAATCCCATCACGGAGGCCCCCCCCTCCTGACCTCATCTAAACTTAATTACCTCCCCAGGGTCCCACCTCCAGATACCACCACACTGGGGGTTAGGGCTTCAACATATGAATTTTGGGGGAACACAAACATTTAGCCCATAACACCCTTCAAAGCAAAAAGAAAAGAACACCATGAAATCTAGTGGAAAAATAGGGGGAAACATTTGAATAGGCAGTTCAAAGAAAGAGAAAAATGAATGATGATGACTTATTTGAAGCTACACAGTATCACTGGCAATAAGAGAAACTCAAGTTACAACAAGAAAGGGAAAGAGTTGATACTGATTAGATTGTGACAAAGATTAAGAAGTCAGTTAAAATCAACTGAGCATGTAAAGAAAGATGAACTTGGTATATTGCTAGGGAGTATAGACTGTGGAAGCTGAAGGAAAATTTGACTTTCCTCAGGTAATTTCCATACACACAAACCTAGAATCCAATTTGTAATTGTGGCTAAGTACTCCAGAGGCCCACTCTCATAGGTCCATGGTCTAGAATTCTACTACAGAGATATATATGGTAACATATAGTTGGAAGCAAACTAGTTGACTATCCATAAGAAAAGGGATAAACAAAATGTTTTAAAAGCATAATCTATGGCAGTCCAAAACACTGAATTAGATGTATATACAGTACAGAGAGCTTAAAAAACGTTGTCAGCCGGGTGCGGTGGCTCACGCCTGTAATCCCAGCACTTTGGGAGGCCGAGGCGGGTGGATCACGAGGTCAGGAGATCGAGCCCATCCTGGTTAACACGGTGAAACCCCGTCTCTACTAAAAATACAAAAAATTAGCCGGGCATGGTGGCGGGTGCCTGTAGTCCCAGCTATTCAGGAGGCTGAGGCAGGAGAATGGCATCAACCTGGGAGGCGGAGCTTGCAGTGAGCCAAGATCGCGCCACTGCACTCCAGCTTGGGCAAGAGTGAGACTCTGTCTCAAAAAAAAAAAAAAAAAAAAAAAGTTGTCAAAAAGATAAAATGGTCTCTGCAAGCTCCATGTCCTAGGTATAGTCCTCCCCATCCTGCTGCCAGATCAATGTGATCTCTTCAGGGTGGAAGCCCAGGGCCCAGCACCTCAGGGTGGTATTACAGTCAGAGATGGGGTCATAGTGGGTGCTGGTGGGGAATGCCTTTGGGGGTCCGAAGAAAAGGGTCAGAGGAAATTTAGAACATTCATTTCCCTTCCATAGGCCATTCAACAGGGCTCATTGATCGCTCTAAGAAGGAAAGGATTTTAGGAAGAGAAACTCAGATACCCACATCTACTCTAAGAGTCCAGGGGGAACACTTTCCTGTTTCAAAGCAGAGTGAGGCAGGATATAGTTGGAGGCACCAGGTCTGAAAGGAGGTGAGGGGGTCCTAATTAAGTAGTGTCAAGGTCACAGTGGGCAGGGCCAGGGTTAGAACAAGCTCCAAAAAGAATCAGGATGGAGGCAGAAGATAAGGTCTGAGAGAGACAGTTTGGTTCTTGAGGAAGTAGCTGCAAGATCATGAAAATTAAAAGCTTTTATACATCAAAATATACTATCAAGAGAGTGAAAAGACAATCCACGGAATGAAAGAAAATGTTTGCAAATCATATATCTGATAAGGGTCTAGTATTCAGAATATATAAAGAATTCCTAAAACTCAAAACATAAAGGCAACCTATTTTTTTTAAATGGGCAAAGGTCTTGAAAGGACCTTTTTCCAAAGAAAATATACAAATAGCCAACAAACACATAAGATGCTCAACATCATTACTCATTAGAGAACTGTATATCAAAACCACAAAGAGGTTTTGTGGTTTTTGTCTAGTGTTTTGGATTGACTTCTAGCGGTTTTATACCCACTAGAATGTTATTATAGGATGGCTATAATAAACAACAAAACAAACTGAAAGTAAGTGTAGATTAGGATGGAGAGAAATTAGAACCATGTGCATTGCTGGTGGGAGTGCAAAATGGTGCAGCAGCCATGAAGAGCAGTTTGGTAGTTCCTCAAAAAGTTAAAATATAAAACTATCAAACGAACCGCACCTATATCCTCCAACAAAAAAACTAAAAACAGATACTGAAACAGAACCTTGTACACAAATGTTCATAGCAGCACTGTTCACAATAGCCAAAAAGCAGAAATAACGGAAGTGTCCATTGATGGCTGAATGGATAAACAAAATGTGGTATATCCATATAATCGGCTACTATTCAGCCATAGAAAGGAATGAAATACTGACATTTGCTACAGCACGGATGAACCCTGAAAACATTATGCTAAGTGAAAGAAATCAGACACAATAAGCTACAAATTGTATGATTCCATTTATATGAAATATACAGAATAGACAAATCCGTAAAGGCAGAAACAGATTAGTGGTTGCTAAGGGCTGGAATAGGGAAAAATTGGAAGTGACTGTTTAATGGAAACAGGTTTCTGTTTGGGATGATGAAAAAGATCTGGAACTAAATAGTGGTGGTGATTGTATAATATTGCAAATGTACTTAATGCCACTGAATTGTACACTTTAAAATGGCTAAAATGATACATTTTAAGTTAAGTATATTTTACCACAATAAAAAGAGGAACCACTGGGGGGCACTGGGTGAGGATGTAGGGGACATTTCAGTATGCTCTTTGCAGCTTCCAGTGAATCTATATTTCAAAATAGTTTTGAAAATTTATTAAGCAGTTACTAAGCATAGGCACTATCTTCATAGTGATATAATTGTTTTAAATTAGAGATACACACTGATTTATTATGGTGACAATAACTCAGATTCCTCAATGTTCAAGACCTGTCTTTTCTAACGTTTTTGCTACTTGAATTCAAAATAACAGTCTCTCAATCCTTCTCTCTTTTGCCTCCTGACAATAACGATACTGGTTTTCACTAGTTTTGAAAGTGCTAAATGAACTTAATGTTCAGGGAGTGACTAAGGCATAGTTTCTATGGTTACTGGAAGACCTCATTTCTTGATTCGATTTGAATAACCTAAGTTTCTTCTCTCTCCTTTAATTTTATTTAGAGTCCTAAAAGGGCATAAATTTTGAGTTATTGAACTTCTAGAAACACTTGAGAAAGCTACTGCATTCCAGGGATTCAGTTTATTTTCATCTTTCATCTAGGAAATCCATTTTTGCATATAATATGCCACTATCACATTATATATCTTTATGATGTATCTGTATTAATACATAGAATCATGTATCAATGTATAGAATATAAATGTTATATATGTAATCATATATTTATAATTAAACATGAAAAAGGAAAGAGGAAGAGGGCTGTGGAAAGAGGAAGAGGGCTGTGATCTTTAGAGTTATATATTGATAGAAACCCACAACAAATAAAGAAACCACAAAGACTCACAAGTGAACCAGATTCCAGATACTGTTTTGTCTGCCGCTCATCCTGACTGGGACCTGATTCCCATGATCTCCCACATGAGAGGAATCACTTAGTGACTGAGCCATGAAATCGAAACTCAGTTTCCCCACTGCTATCCCACTGTAGACATGTTCAGTCACATGCAATCATAACACACTCAAGACAAACTTAGCCAAAGATCAGATTAAGTGTGCAAGAGTCGAGCTCAGTCATCCCAAATTAAACTTACTGGAGGAGCCATGGAAGGTGAGCTGAGGATGCAAAGGACCCAGGTATGCACGAGGTGTTACTTTCAGGCTACACATTTTTGTTGGACTGAAAGTTGACCCAGGTAGGCACTATTTCCAGAAATAAAATGTCAAAGGATGACTCAGAAACATTTACTTACATGTACACTGTTTAGTATTTTCTACGCAAATAATTTACTGACATGTGAAGGAGGCAGTGGAGAGACCAAGTCAGGGACAAAGGCAAAACAAGAATGTGGTAGATGAGTGATCCCCAACCTTTTTGGCACTAGGGACAGGTTAACCAGGGACTGGTTTTGTGAAAGGCAATTTTTCCATGGAGCAGGAAGGGTATGGTTCTGGGATGAAACTATTTCACCCCAGATCATCAGCAATTAGATTATGATAAGGAGCATGCAACCCAGATCCCTTGCATGCGCAGTTCACAGTAGGGTTCATGCTCCTATGTGAATCTAATGCTGCCACTGATTACTCAGGCAGTAATGCTGGCCCATCCCTCCCTTCCACCACTGCTCACCTCCTACTAGGCAGCCTGGTTCCTAACAGGACACAGCCCAGTACCAGTCCACAGGGCCTGGGGGTTGGGGACCCCTGTGGTAGATTGTTACACTGGTGATCCCCAGGGAACTAATGAACCTCCCAGCGTTCAAACTCCAGTGTAGCCCCTTCCACATTGAATCTGGCATTGGCACTGTGCCTTGCTTTGGCCAAGGGAACATTAGCAAGTGTGACCCCAACAGAGGCTCGATAAACACTTTTTTTTTTTGAGACAGTCTCACTCTGTCACACAGGCTGGAATGCAGTGGCGCGATCTTGGCCCACTGCAACTCTGCCTCCTGGGTTCAGGTGATTCTCCTGCCTCAGCCTCCCGAGTAGCTGGAATTACAGGTGCCTGCTACCACGCCCTGCTAATTTTTTTGTATTTTAAGTACAGACAGGGTTCCACCATGTTGTCCGGGCTGGTCTCAAACTCCTGAACTCAAGTGATCCACCTGCCTCGGCCTCACAAAGTGCTGGGATCACAGGTGTGAGCCACAGCATCCAGCCAAACACTTACATATTGGGATGCTTTTGTAGAAGCCAGAGGGGATGTAAGAAATACAACTACCCTGAGTCAGCCATGCTGTGGGAACATCAAAGCTAGCGAGGGAGCAAGGCTACTTGGAGAAGCAATGAGGTGCTAAACACGTGAGTGAAATTTCTTGGGTCTTCCAGACCACCTACGAGATAGCAGCTAAATGCAGCTATTTAAGCTGATTTCATATGTAACAGGAGAACCACCCAGCCAAAGTCTTTCAGAATTCCTAGTTCACAGAACCAGAGGAAATAATAAATCATTATGTTTTAAGCTCCAACATGATGAAGTGATTTTTTTATACAGCTATCGATAAGCAAACACAGGGTTTATAAGAGAAATAAAAGAAAACTGCATTCTGGAAGTAGTAAATTTTGTTTGTATGCTTTTGGTATAACCTTATTAGCTGGCATTTAGCAAAAAGGTCAGTCTAAGAATTCTGTACTTCAGTAGGCTTTCTAGGGATATCGAAGAAAACATTTTAGTTGTTTATTCTTAAGAAAACTCTGAGAGTTTACCTATGGGACATAATTGCAAAATGTCTGTCGGTGTCCTTTGTTAGCATCTTTGACTTTGTTAGTTCAGGTTTGCGCCATTTCCTTTATCAGAATTTTATTAAAGACAACTTTGAGACTGGGAAAAGACCTGAGTCTTTTCTGACTATGAGTGGGCCTAGAGGATACAAACACTCTCCGCTGCCCCATATTTCTCCCCTTGTTTAAAAACAGCAGCAGTGGCATCATTCTCTCCAGCTCTTCAGTCAGCAATTATGGCTGCCCAAACATGGAATGCCCTAAGGTGGCTCAGGACATTGATAGGGAACTGGGGCCATGGCCTTGGAAATGCAAGCTGCTGAGTGAGGCCAAGTGGTCTATGGAAATCACGATCTCCCTGCATGGTGGGATTACAAAGGTGACCAAGAAACACAGACAGAAACAGAAGAAAATGGAATTAAGAGTTGAAATACCCACAGAACAGAATCATGGAATGTAAAACAAGTAAACTTTATTTGGGAGATGGGGTGAATCCATCACTGGTTACTGGAACCCTGAGTCTGCATTTTCTCCTCAGGAAGGCGGTCTGAAATGGAGTGGGCTGTGTTTGGCAAGGGTTGTAGTGGTTTGGAATCTGAGTAAATGAGCAGAATCAGAGAAACAGAATTAGTTTTCTGACTGTGGTACTTCTCACACCAACCCAGAACCTGTCCATGTGTCCTCTTCACTCTACGTTCTCCATTGTCCCTATCCTCTGGGGTGTCCTCCATTTTCTCCCTCACCTCTCACCTGCTTGGCTCCCGAGCTGGGCCTCAGGCCTGTCTCCCCAGAGTAAATGCCCGGGATCATTGAGGAAGCGTTGGCTGCGCTGGCATGTTAGGCAGGTCTGTACGGTCCAGCGCTGTCCCCTGCAGCCTAGGGTGAACATGGGAAAAAGACTGTCCACGTTTAGAAGTAACGGTCTCTTGCTGCCAGTTTTGCCTCCAGTGTTTTTCAGTAGGTATCCCCGCTCCCCCACCACACCCCCAATTTGAATGCACATTTGATGGTGTCAGGCCTCGGCATAAGCTCCATCGATTTCCTGGAACTCTTTAAGATAAAGTTCAAACTCCCTAACAAGACTTCAAGAACTGGCCTGTTTCCCCCTCCAGTCTCATGTTTTGCCCTCCTACCTCAAACTCCAGCCTCCTGAACTCTCATTTCTTTGACAGCACCACAAGCTCTCTTGTCTCAGAGTCTGCACACATGCCTAGAATTTCCATCTCTCACTCCCTTTGCTTATCATAAACTTCGCCACCACTGGCATGAGTAAGTGAGCATTCTACTCCCCCAGTTAATCTTTTTCTACACCATTTTGTTTCTTAGTCTGTCCCATCAGACCGTAATTTCAATGAGAATAATGAATCTAGCACAGTACCTGACACATTTTAGAAAATAAGTATTTGCTTAATAAATGAATGGTGATGGGAATCGTCCTCCACAAAGCCGAACAACATCTATTATTGTGCATGGGTGGGGTTGCCTCTTAAAAGTTATTATTTATTGCCCACACTGGAAGAAAAAAAAAAAAAACAGCCGAGCCCAAACCCTAGTTTGTGCAAGTGGCGTTAGGAACTTAATCCAAACCCGAAGAAGGAAGACTCCTGCGAATCCCACACCCAACATCCATCTACAGTGAGAAAGGCGCTGTTGGCCTCCAGTGCCCGCCCCCCACCCCGCCCCCCTCCGCGCCCCCAATGCTCCGCAGTCTTCCACCTCCGTTGGAGCACTCACGTCTCTGGCGGTGGGTGCAGGTGAGGCCCGGGACGAGGAGGGAAGAGCAGCCTCGACAGAGAGTCCTCTTCACCGAGGGATCCCTGGGGGCGGAGGAGGATAGTGGTCTGGCGCCCGCGCTCCCTCTCGCGTTCCTCCCGCGTCCCGCCCGCCGCCCGCCCCGTGGCTGTCTCACCGCCGCAAGACGAGCCGCTTCGCAATGGTCCTCTCAGTGTAGCAGTAAAACCTCGCCAGCGCCTGGTTCTCGGGGTCCTGGGCAAGGACACAATGGGCGGCCTGCGGGAGGGGAGCAGTCACTCTGGGACGCCGAGCACCGTCCCCGTGGGGCCCTTGTCGCAGACTCACCTGGTACAGGAAGTTGAGCCTCTGGAAGGCCTCGCGGTCCTTCACCGGCCCCGCCATCACCGCCGCGCTCCAGGGCCTCCCGCAGCCCCACCCCTCGCACAGCCCCGCCCGGGCGTCCGCGCGAGGCCTCCTGGGAAACGTAGTCCCCGCGCCCTCGGGAGCCTCCCGGAGGCCTCACAAACTCATCGGTTTCTAAACACAACCCCAGCAATCCATGCCCAGGGTCCCTTTATGAATTTTCAGTGCTTTTGTCTTCCTCAAGCTCATGACCAATTATATCACCTAGAGACCTAGTGGAGCAGGTGAGGATCTTAAATCGGCCATTTTCAGGACAGAAGGCTGGTCTCTTTATGTAGCTACGTTGGGGAGATGGTTATGTGCAATTTATACCCAGCTAGAGCTTCTGCCCTACTCTCCTGAGGTCCGAGGCAGATGCCTGTAAGATCTACAGACGGAAGGCACAGAGGTAATACATTAAAAAAAAGCACTGGTGCCAGTGGGGGTGAAAGTGGGAAGGATCATGAGGGTGCTGGAGGGAGGGAAAAGGACTCCCGGTCCTCAGAAAGCACAGTTTACTCCTACTATTCCACCTACCAAAGAAACACACTTCCTGTTATGCAGTGCTGGACACACAGTAGGTGATCCTCACTTTCTGAGTGAATGGTTTCTAACTCCTAGGCTTAGGTACAGCACAGAAATCTGTCAACAGCATCCCCTGCCCCTGAAACTTCACCCCACTCCCCACACTGACATTCACCTCACACCCCTCCCTCTGACCTCTTCTATCTTCCAGTTCTTCTGTCTGGTGTCCTGTGACTCATAGTGACTATCAGTTACTGAAGTCAGAAGCAGAGGGACATGAATTGGAGGGGTAGAAGATCAATGAACCCTGAGATGGGGAGGGCAGCATAAGTCAGGAGAGGATGACTTCTCTCCAATTTCAGACCCAGTGCCAGGCGGGGACAGACAAGCAGGGCTCCAGCTGGGAGGAAGGACATGGCTGAAACCTCCTCTGGAACTAGTTTCACAAGGGTTTTCGGACTCAAATGAGAGTGGTGTGTTTAAAATGTAGAGGTAGGCTGGGCACGGTGGCTCACACCTGTAATCCTAGCACTTTGAGTGGCTGAGGCAGGTAGATTACTTGAGTTCAGGAGTTCGAGACCAGCCTGTCCAACATGGCAAAACCCTGTCTCCACTAAAATTAGCCGGGTGTGGTGGTGCATGGCTATAGTCCATAGTAATCCCAGCTACTCTGGAGGCTGAGGCAGGAGAATTGCTTGAACCTGGGAGGCGGAGGTTGCAGTGAGCTGAGATCACCACTGTACTCCAGCCTGGGCGACAGAACGAGACTCTGTCTCATAAATAAAATGTAGATGTCCGGCCCACCCCAGACCTTGACTAACCACTAAGGGTGAGACCCAGGAACATGCATGTCTAACACCCAGTGATTCTTACACATCAGTACAAGGCTGTCACCAAATTACCACACAACACAGAGATCACTTCAGTGGATCCTTTGTTCCATATTATTTTAACCAACCAAAGTATCTTGCCACAAAGAACCACAGTCAAGGCACAAAGGTAAGAGGAGGAGAGTCTGGACAAAGTCCTGTTGAGGTGGTAGGAGGAACTGAAATGCCCTCAGTAAACTGCAGATTCTTCTCTCAGTCATTTCTGTGAAGATTACCCGAATAGCAGATAATCCAAATTGGTTTAGTTTGGTTTGGCATGCATCACTTTTACCTTTTATGACAACATATGTACCCTATAAGTTGTTTATTTTGGCCTAACATGAAAATCATTTACATTCTCTGAAAAGGGAAATGGCAAAGGGTGAGGGATGGCAACAAACAAGCAAAAGCCTGGCTTAACACCAGTTCCAGGCCAGATGCACACAAGCCAAATGAAGTTGCCTATCTGGCCCTTCCCTATATACCACCCTCTTCCACCCTGTCCTTAGGGTGAGAAAGACTCCATAACCTTTTTTCCTTTCTGGCTTGGACACCTTGGCCAGGTAAGAAGGCTGACAATTTGGGAGTAGCTACTAAGTAACATTCTTTAAGGCCAGGGCTTTGTATACAAATACCCTTCTCTTTCCTCTAATACCTGACTCTCCTTTCCAAGTTCCCTTGGGAACACTGTGAAAGGATAGATGTGTCTTGCAGGATCTCTTCCACTTTGCCTCTGGAGAGGAGCAAGGTGACTGACTTATTGGTATAGAGGCAGGCAATAAGCCAACTCTGCTGAAGGCTGAGGCAGGGACCTGGGTTCTCCTCTGCTTTCTTTTCAGCCTCTCCTTCTCCCCACATTCCTACCTCTGGCCAATCTTACCCATAATCGCAACCTTACCCTTGGAATAGAAGACCAAAGAAACCTCCCTCCTCTTCATTAATCTCTAGGAATCTGTTCCTTTAGCCCACTTCCCTGACCCTTCTAGCCTTGTTGATGTCCAATCTCTGCCCTCAGAAAAACTCCTCAATATCTAGACCCATGAGAGCATCTGTCATTCATCTCTCATGAATTCAGAGGTACACAGACCCCTGTGATCTACCTCAAGAAGCAAGACTATCCTGGGTCAAAGAACCCCCTAAAAAGATGTGCAGGGGTTTCTGTTTCCTCCTCTGGTTTGAGCAAGTCAGACCCTCACAGATTTTTTGTTTCTGGAAAAGCCTCTCCTTCCTTCCTGACCCGTCCTTGTGCAACAGAAAACCTGATGGACTTCAGGGTAGACAATCCTCTGGGAACCAGCTCCCCACCCTGACAGTTAGGAGGAAGTCACAGCTGTGCTCTCTCATCCAGCCCAGTCCTACCTCCCCCTCCACACAAAACCATCCTAGAAACCAAGGTGTTTCTCCAAGATGATTCAGGACTGGACCCAGGTGGACACGAAGACGTTCCAGCAGGACACGGGAAGGAGGCCCGTAGCACTTGACCCTGCCTCACCCCAGTCATTCCCACATCCCAACCTGTCACTCCCAATCTGTTGGGGGCCTGATGGTAAGTGGTGCAGCATTCTTCCGTCCAGCCCGGATGCCTGGGTAGAAGAGGGGCCAAAGTTTCTCAGTAAAAGTATCAGTGAAGGTGTAGATATGAGAGCGGTCTGTGACATTGTAGAAAGACAGTGTGCCGGCCTCATAGTCTAGGAATATGCCTACCCGCTTGGGTTTCACCTTGATGTGCAAAGGGGTAAAAGGTGTGGTGGTGGCTGCATATTTGTCCCCATTCCATAGCCGCACCCGCCAGTAGCCAGTCTCAGGGAGTGGAGTCAACTCGCCCTTTCGGCTCACGGAGTCCCGGCATACACCCACTGCCCAGTGGGTCTTGTCGCCCACCTCCACCTCCCAGTAGTGTCGACCTGAGGTGAAACCCTCAGTAGCCAGGACGCAAGGGTAGAAGGTGAAACGCCTTGGTGTGTCAGGGAGATCCCGGAGTCTTGTCTCCACGAACTTGACGCTCTTACGATCCTCTGACAGGACTAGGTTAGGATGAGCTGTCTCAGGGTCCAGGGTCACATCCGCTGGCGGGAGAAGCCAGAGTGGGGAGCTAGATGAGGATGGGAATAGCTAAATGCCCCTGCCTCACTCTTCCAGCCTGCCTTTACAGAGCCTGGTCCCTTAAAGGTCCCCAGAACAACCTGGTTTGGTTAACTTTCTCAATCCATGGTGTCACCTAAGGAAGGGGAGAAAGCAATGGCTCACTTCTCACCCTGACCCTAAAGTAAACAGATAATAATCTCTTGAGTCTGCAGTGGCTGGTAATCTAGGTTCCCGCCTGGTCCTCTCTTCATCTCCCTCTGACATTATCATTTATCTCACTATGTAGAGAAGTACAAGGTGTAGTCTGAGGGGCAGAAAAAAACGGAAAGTGTTAAGAAGGATGCCGAGCAAGACAGCATATGGTCTAGGGATAGGGTGACCATGTGTGTTTTCCAGGAACTGGCCTGGTTTATGACTATTTTCCCTGCATATTCACATTAATATAATGACACTCCCTTTCAGTTTCTTTCTTTTTTTTTTTTTTTGAGATGGAATCTCACTCTGTCCCTCAGGCTGGAGTGCAGTGGTGTGATCTCAGCTCACTGCAACCTCCGCTTCCCAGGTTCAAGCAGTTCTCCTGCCTCAGCCTCCAGAGGAGCTGGGATTACAGGCGCCCAACACCACATCTGGCTAATTTTTATATTTTTAGTAGAGATGGGGTTTCACCGTGTTGGCCAGGCTGATGTCGAACTCCTGACCTCAAGTGATCCACCAGCCTTGGCCTCCCAAAGTGCTAGGATTACAGATGTGAGCCACCGCACCCGGCCTTTGAAGGTTATGCAAGTTTACATGGTAAATTATATAACCACTCTACCCGATGACTTTGGCAAATTATTTAACCTTTCTGGGTCTCTATTTAGAAAAGAATGGACCTAAGAGTAGATAACGCTTAAGGCTTCCTCTCACTCCAAGTTCTGTGACTCAGGGTGAGACTAAAAGCCAGATAAAGGGGTAGGTGTGTGTGGGAGTAAGAAAAGTGAGACATAGGATAACTGAAACCCATATAAGGTAGGACCTAAAAACTTTCTTCTCTCTAGTGGTTTCTTCTAGTTTCCTTTTGGGAACAACTCACCAATTAGCTGTTTAAGGATTTTCCTTAGGGCAAAGTACTGTCGGGGAAAATTGCTGAAGTTCTTTTCCAGCTCTATGGATACTGAAGTCACCTCCATGGTCTTCACCTTTTCACATCTAGGAGGGATAGGGAGATAGGGGAAGAAAGGGCAGGGTTAGGGAGAAGCTCCAGCCAAGTGACTATTCAGATGTTAACATTTTTAGGGAGAAATTAAAATTCTCCATCTTCCCACTTTCTTCCTCCTCCCTGAAAAGCTCACCTGTTGATTTCTTTTACTAATCCAAGGAGAGCCTTATGATCCCGTGGACAGATCGTTGAGAGTGAGCCTCCGAACTTTCTAGGAATATTCCTGTATTTCATGCAAATGGATGATTGCCCTCCCTGCTCTCCCAACCCCTTCCTCCTGCCATCTTGTTTGGACACAATTCCACCCACTGGCACAAGTAGAATCTGATTCTACCTTATCATTCTCCTTCTCAAGAAGTCCTGATGTTCAAAGGGGAAAAGGGATTATTATTCCCAATAATTTGTTCTCTAACTGGCTTCATGGGCACAATGAACATTCTCCCATACCCTGCCCAGACACACTACATGACTTTCCCAACCTCACCCCCAACCCAAACTCCTGACTGTACCCCTCCTCTCTAAGCCAAGACCTAACTCACTCAGAGAGATACAACAATCACTTACTTTTCCAGGGTACTTTTGACATCCTAGAAGGAAGGAGAAAAGAAAGCAATATTGGTCCTGGTATTCAGTGGTCCTGAAGGCAAAAGGTTCCCCCTCCTCCCCAAAGTTCCACAGCTATAAAATAGGGATAGGATAAACTGAGGGTCACACAGTGCAAGAAGAGCTCCAGCGGGACCTGAATGCACTTCTCCCAACCTAATCCCTACTTTCAACTTCTGGTCATCATGAAGCTTGGTCATTTATATCACTTCCCAATGATTTCTTTTATGCTTGTCTTTGCTCCTCAAGGATGCTGGGAGCTCCCTATAAGGGACAGGGATTGTATCAATTCTTTACTCTGTCCCCCAAGTACCAACCACATATCTCACTCTCCTTGAGGATAAGTACAGAGAGTTCCAGACTGGTGGCATAGGAACAAATCACACATTCCTGTTACGGTTTGGTATCCCCTGTCTTGCATTAGTTAATAAACATCAATAACTGGCTGGGCACAGTAGCTCACGCCTGTAATCTGAGCGCTTTGGGAGGCCAAGACGGGTGGATCACTTGAGGTCAGGAGTTCAAGACCAGCCTAGCCAACATGGTGAAACCCTGTCTTTACTAAAAATACAAAAATTAGCCAGGTGTGGTGGTGTGCGCCTGTAACCCCAGCTACTCAGGAGGCTGAGGCAGGAGAATCGCTTGAACACAGGAGGCAAAGGTTGCAGTGAGCCGAGATCATGCACTGCACTCCAGCCTGGGCGACAGAGCAAGACTCTCTCAGAAAAAAAAAAAAGGAAGAATAAACACATTAATAACTGTGTGCTAATACTGATTTGTGAATACTTGGGGTCCAGAAGACAAAGAAGACAAATCTCTGTCCCACAAGGATTTCCCAGTTTAATATGGAAGGCAGAACACACATACATGAAAGGCCATAGGAACAAATACCAAGCAATACGTAACATAAAAATAAATGTACAATGAAGCCTCACTGCTTCAAATGCTGGTAATCTAATCTCTAAGATAAAAAATATGTTCCCTAGTTTTGCTAACACCATTCATTTACGTAAGAGAACAAAATATTTCAAACACTTTAGAGGTATTATTAATATATACATATCAAAAGCAATATATTATTTAAACAATTTCAGGCATACCTCATTTTATTGCACTTCGCTTTATTGTGTTTTGTTGACATTGTATGTTTTTCAGATAGATGGTTTGTGGCAACCTGTGTTGAGCAAGTCTACTGGCACCATGTTTTCCAACAGCATGTGTTCACTTCATGTCTCTGTGTCACATTTTGGTAATTCTCACAATATTTCACACTTTTTCATTATTATATCTAGTATGATCTGTGATCAGTGATCTTTGATGTTACTATTGTAATCGTTATGGGGGCACTGTGAACTGCATCCATATAAGACGAACAACTTAATCGATAAATATATTTTATGTGTTCTAACTGATCCACTACCAGCTATTCCCTCATCTTTCTCCATCTCCTCTGGCCTCCCTATTCCGAGACACAACGATATTAAAATTATATCAATTAATAATCCTGCAATGGCCTCTAAGTGTTCATGTGAAAGAAGAATCACATGTCTCTCACTTTAAATCAAAACCTAAAAATGTTTAAGCTTAGTGAGAAAGGCACATTGAAAGCCAAGATGGGCTGAAAGCTAGGCCTCTTGTGCCAAACACCAAGCCAGGCTGTGAATGCTAAGGAAAAGTTATTGAAGAAAATTAAAAGTGCTACTCCAGTGAACACATGAATGATAAGAAAGTGAAACAGCTTTATTGCTGAGATGGAGAAAATTTTAGTGATCTGGATATAAGATCACATGATTCCCTTAAGCCAAAGCCCAATCCAGAGCAAGGCTGTTAACTCCTTCAGTTCTATGAAAGCTGAGAGAGGTAAGGAAGCTGCAGAAGAAAAGTTTAAAGTTAGGTAGGTTGTTTTAAGAAAAGAAGCCATCTCTGTAACAAAAATGTGCAAGGAGAAGCAGCAAGTGCTGATGCAGAAGTTGCAGCAAGTTATCCAGAAGATCTTGCCAAGATTACTGATGAAGGTGGCTACACTAAACAACACATTTTCAATGTCAACAAACAGCCTTCTATTGAAGAAGGTGCTATCCAGGGCTTTCACAGTTCGAGAGAAGTCAATGCCTGGCTTTAAAGCTTCAAAGGACAGGATGACTTTCTTATTAGAAGCAAGGGCAGCTGGTGACTTTAAGTTGAAACCAGTGCTCACTTACCATTTCAAAAATCCTAGGGCTCTTAAGAATTATGCTAAATCTACTTTCCTTGTGCTCTAGAAATGGAATAACAAAGCCTACATGACAGTACACCTGTATACAGCATGGTATACTGAATGTTTTTAATTAAAAAAAATTACCTTTTGTAGAGATGGGGTCCTGCTATATTGCCCAGACTGGTCTTGAATTCCTGGCCTTAAGCAGTCCTCCTGGCTTGATCTCTCAGAGTGCTGGGATTACAGATGTGAGCCAACGTGCCTAGCCTTTACTGAAGTTTTTTTTGGGGGGATGGAGTTTCACTCTTGTCACCCAGGCAGGAGTGCAACTGCATGATCTTGGCTCACTGCAACCTCTGCCTCTCGGGTTCAAGCGATTCTCCTCCCTCAGCCTCCCGAGTAGCTGGGATTACAGGCGCCCACCACCATGCCCAGCTAATTTTTTTGTATTTTTAGTAGAGATTGGGCTTCACCATGTTGGCCAGGCTGGTCTCAAACTCCTGACCTCAGGTGATCCACCTGCCTTGGCCTCCCAAAGTGATAGGATTACAGGTGTAAGCCACCGTGCCCAACCCTTTACTGAAAATTTTAAGTTGAGACCTACTGCTCAGAAAAAAAGATTCCTTTCAAAATATTACTGCTCACTGACAATGCACTTGATCACCCAAAAGTTCTGATAGAGATGTAAAATGAGATTCATGTTGTTTTCACGTCCGCTAACACAACATCCAATCGGCAGCCCATGGATCAAGAAGTAATTTGGACTTTCAAGTCTTAATAAATGTATTTCATAAAGCTGCTATAAATAGTGATTTTTCTGATAGATCTAGGCAAAGTAAATTGAAGGCTTTCTGGTAAGGATTCACCATTCTAGATGCCATTAAGAACATTTGTGATTTGTGAAAGGAAGCCAAAATATCAATATTAACAGGCATTTAGAAGAAGTCTATTCCAACCCTTATGGATGACTTTTAGGGGTTCAAGACTCCCATGTTGTAAGTAACTGCAAATGTGGGTTTTCAAAGATTTTCAAAGAAGTTCTACTGGTGAGTAAAATGCTATTAAACAGCATCACATGCTCAGAGATATCTTTCATAAAAGGAAGAGTTGAAAGTAAACTTCGTCGTTGTCTTATTTTAAGAAATTACCACAGTCACCCCAATCTTCAGCAACCACCACCTCGATCAGTCAATACTAACACAAGACCCTCCACCAGCAAAAATATGATTCCACTAGGAAACCCAACAATTAATGTGACTTGCTTTATCAAGATACTCGCTTTATTGAAGTGGTATGGAACTGAACCCACAATATCTCTGAGGTATGCCTGTATCCTTTAAACTATGTTTCTGTCCTTTTTCAGCAGTACATAAATCAAATTTCAGGACTTAAAAGTAATGGTAACTGCATTTACAAAATTTTTAATGCATAGTTTTTCACTAACTCAGGCTAGACTTCCCTCCTTTCAAAAGAATGAATCTTTTCTTTGGAACAGATTAAGCACATAATTGCTGACCAGAGATAAGAACACAAAAATGGTTAGAAGGGGATGGGAGAAATCACTTTTCCGTAGCAAAGACCCTTTGAGTACACCTGGCAGAAAGAACTGGATTTAGAGAAGGAGAGCAGAAGAATGAGTATCCCAGGCTGACAAATCCCAGGCTACGCAAAGCTACGCTGCACTCAGCCTGAGGGGCTATGCAGGGGCAAAGGTCGAACCTTAAGCATCTCGAAGCCTGACTGTAAGCACTTGCCCTCCACCTCGGCAGCCAAGTGGGCCAGGTCCCGGCGCTTGTCCCCAAGGTGAGCAGCATTTTCTCGGAGTCGCTGCAGAATGTCCTGTTCCTCTTCTTCCAGTCGTGAAAGCAACACCTGCTGCTCTTCATCCAGCCGCCTATGAAGCTCTTCAAACTCCCTCAAGATCTGCTGTCGGCGACTTTCCACTAGTCTCTGAGAAGAGAGGGAAGATGTTGTATCAGCAGGGTCAGTGTGGTATAAGGAAGCCTTTCTCTCACCCACCATATGTATGAATTAACACAGACTTCCAGTTTCATTGAAAATGGTTTAACAAAGGCTGGGTGTGGTGACACATGACTGTAATCCAAGGACTTTGGGAGGCCGAGGGAGGTGGATTGCTTGGGATGAGAAGTTTGAGACCAGCCTAGGTAACATGGTGAAACCCCAACTCTACAAAAAATACAAAAAATTAGCTGAGTCTGGTGGTGCATGCCTGTAGTCCCAGCTACTGGAGAGGCTGAGGTGGGATGATGGCTTGAGCAAAGAAGGCAGAGGTTGGAGTAAGCTGAAATTGTTGCACCATTGCACTCCAGCTTGGGCAACAGATCGAGATGAAAGACAGACAGACAGGAAAGAAAGACAGAAAGACAAAGACAGAAAGAAAAGAAAGAAAGAAAATGAGAGAAAATGGTTTAACAGAACACTCATTTTTTATTCCATTGGAATTTCCTTCTGTAAAGAATGGCTCCATCACTATCACCCCCCTACTGATGACTTGGTAGTGAAGACCACTGCGGATATATATATTTGTTTTAATTTAAGATAAAGAACTCAATAATATGATGACATTAACTATTACAGATATCAGAGATATCTGTGTTATTATCAACTGTAAAGTTCTAGTTAATTCAATCTGTCGAGAAAAGGAAAGTATAGGCTCAGCATGGTGGCTCATGCCTGTAAACTTAGTGCTTAGGAGGCCCAGGTGAGAGGATCACTTGAGGCCAAGACCAACCTAGGAAACATAGTGAGACCTTGTTTCAACTAAAAAGAAAAAAAAATTAGTCGGGCATGGCAATGCACATCTGCAGTCCTAGCTACTCAAAAAGAATCAAGAGGATGGATGGCCTGAACACTGGAGTTTGAGTTAGTGTGCTGTGATCACTACTGCCCTCCAGCCTGGGTGAGTGAGATTCTGTCTCAAAACAAGCAAACAAAAAACAACGAAACAAAAAGGAAAGTACAAATAATAAAAAGTTAAAAATAAGATTGTCATCCTTTGCATATTGCAACACATGCACCAGATAAAAACCAGAGAACTGGGAAAGTGTAAGAATCAGTAAGAGTTATATGGGTTATTATAAAATATACATATGTAGATTTCAGGGCTGAACTTGTTAAATTGTTTCAAGTCACTTCAGAGAACTGGCAATTCCTACCCCAGGAACAGGTTACAGAAGTTTGTTAGTAATTTAGTTTCTTGAAATTTGAAACATGCTTTCTTTAAGCCAGCACACAGACTTAAGCCTCTAACATTCCTGAAATTTGATAATATAGGACTCAAACACCAGCCATAACACTTTCTGAGAATTATCAGCACATCCTCTCTTCTGCATCTCCACTACAACAAATAGTGATCTCCCTAAAGAAAGAATTCCCCAAGCATCATGTGACTGATGATGAAGCAAAGTGAGAAGCAGAGACTGGGACTCTAGAAGGAAGTGGATAGGGAATGAAAGGCAGGCTTGAGGGTGGAGAGAGAGTGGGGATGCAAAGCCAGGATGGGCCTGACAAGCGTGGCATTTGTGGATTCAAGCTAGTTCCTGGCAGAGGCTGACTAGCTCTTCTAGTTTAGGGCCACTTGCTGCTTCACTTTCCACCACTGCCTTCTCAGTGTACATCTGAACAAAATATATTCTCACATTTGCCCTCAATAAAACACAGCCTTTGTGTGTGTGTGTTTGCACATGTGTGTGCATGCATGTGTGTTTGTTTAGGTATGGGTGTAAGTTTAACATTCATGACTGTGATAAATAGGAAGCAAAAAGGCCCTTCCTCTTATAAACCGGTAATCTTTTCTCTTTTTTTCACTCTATATTTTAGGGCAGTGGTTCTTGATGAAGCTGTTAACACACTCTAAGGATATTTTGGAAATAGGCACATCTTCTTGTTTTCCATGGTTGGGGAAGTTCCTGACAATGACGCAAGCACTCCTCCAATGTGTGAGACAATCCGGCATAGTGAACTGACCTGCAACATTTTCTAATGTTCTGCTGGATATTCAAAAACACAGGCCTGGGCGGCCAGGCACGGTGGCTCACGCCTGTAATCCCAGCACTTTGGGAGGCCGAGGTGGGCAGATCACAAGGTCAGGAGATCGAGACCATCCTGGATAACACGGTGAAACCCTGTCTCTACTAAAAATAGAAAAAAAAAATCAGCTGGGTGTGGTGGTGGGCGCCTGTAGTCCCAGGTACTTGGGAGGCTGAGGCAGGAGAATGGCATGAACCCGGGAGGCAGAGCTTGCAGTGAGCCGAGATGGCACCACTGCACTCCAGCCTGGATGACAGAGCGAGACGCCGTCTCAAAAAAAAAAAAAAAAAAAAACCACAAAAACAAAAACATAGGCCTGGGCTTGAATGCCATTTTATATAGTATAAACACAGAGTAATTCTTACATGGTTTTACTATACGTGAATTTTTCAGCAATAGCTGAATAAAACCCAAGATTATATTGTTATACTTAGAACTTTACCAAAAGTTATTACTATGAAAAATCATATCACCAAGAGCTAAGCTACTTATGGTATTTCAATCATATTGGCACACATCCATCTCAGTCTGAATTTGTATTTATGGCGTTGCTGATAATGACACATATAGGGGCAAGCATATAACCAGCTACACTGTAAAGTCGTTCAGGGTAGTCATGCCCAAATATTACATACCACATTTTATCATCAATTATGTTTCATTATATTATATTTGGACATGATAGACTCTTTAAAATTTAACATTATGCACATAGGTTATATTACCTGTAATTTTCAGTTCAGCATAATTACAAATTATTTTTTAAAGGGGCATTGAGTCTGATGAGGGAGAAGGAGGGAGAATTCAAATGGTCACAAGAGGAATGTTGGTGGTAGTTTTGGAGACCACTGAAATGACAATTTACAGTTTAAAAAACAGGACAGTTCTGTTCAAGCATTTAGAAGGTTTTAAAAAGGTATATTTCTCTCTCCATCCTTTACCTTCAAGAAGGTGATCAACATGAAGAAGAAAGTTAATGACTAGCAATAAGCACCATTTTCATATTTTTAGGTTTCTTGGAAGGCCTCTAAAAGAACAAAAAACTTTAAAAGTTCACATTTCTAACCAAAATTGGTTCAAATTTTAAAATTTCAAATGCTTACTTTGCTAAAATGTATAAGGCACTAAGGTAATAATACTTGCTTTCTGATGAAATGTTATCATTCATTTAAAAATTCATGTTTCTATGAATCAAAACTTGGATTTAGCTTCTGGTGATCTCTACATGTCAACTCTTAAAAACTCATTACTTCTTCGGGAAACCTTTAATGAGGCCAAATTTCTATGTTGTCTTCTTATGAACTTGCAGCTGTGCATTTTGTGCCATTACTTATTTTCTCCACTTAACTTTAAGCTCAAGGAGGGCAGGAACTGTGTTTTTGCTCATCATTGTTCCCCAGTGTCAAATACCGGGTTTGGCCTAAACCAGGAGCTTAACAAATATTTACTGATTCACGAAGAACTAGTATTCCTGGTTTTGCCACTTACTGGCTTTATGATCTTGGACTAGTCACTTACCCAAGGTCCATTTCCTTCTGTGTAAGCTGAAGGTAATAATACCTACCTTAAAGAATATCTAGGTTTACCCCTACATCTTACTAAAGATGGCCTCAGGATTTCCTTCTGTCTCTTTCTCGTAGCTTTTCTATGTCTCACTTATCCCAATTTGGCCTGAACTCTAAGACCCTAACAACCCTATAAATCTGGAATGTTACGGATACCTAATGAATTAATGCATAGGACTCAATTCTAGTTATTTTTGCTACAAATGATAATTGTTCACTGTTCAATGGAAGACAGACAGACACCAAAATACCATGCTACAAATAAGGCAATGCTATAAAAGAGGTGCAAAATTGTATGAAAATTAAGAATGTTAATTTCTGAAGGGTCAGGAAAGGCTGCATAGGAAGTGGCTTTCATCCCGCCTGAGAGATGAATAAGATCCTATGGTGGAGGATGGGGAGGGGGAGAACATTCTAGCATATGTAAGCTTACTTGAGTTTTAAGAATGTGGTCCTAATGTCATTAGATAGTTCTTCTGAGACTCTTGGTCAGCTCCTTTTCCCTTTCTCCCCAGTGAATCTTCCATATTCTCCTCTCTTCAAGTCCTCTAAGAAACTCCCATCCCTGCCTTCTCAGCAGAAAGCCTCCTTTGCTGCTTTAACAAAAAAAGGAGACCAAGAGGCACGAACTCTCTCAGCTCACCAGATGTAAGATATTCTGTCTGTTCTTCATCTCTTAAATCCCTCTTAATACTTAATTCATGACAAGTAATTTAAGTACAATGTTTAATGACAATCAAGCCTAATAAAATGCCATCATTTTTGAGAGAACTACATTGTTCTTTCTTTTTTTTTTTTTGTTTTTTTTGTTTGTTTGAGACAGAGCCTTGCTCTGTTGCCCAGGCTGGAGTACAATGGTGTGATCTTGGCTCACTGCAACCTCCGCCTCCCAGGTTCAAGCAATTCTCCTGCCTCAGCCGCCCAAGTCGCTGGGACTACAGGCATGTGCCACCATGCCCGGCTAATTTTTTGTTTTTAGTAAAGACAGGGTTTCACCATGTTGCCCAGGGTGGTCTCAAACTCCTGAGCTCAAGCAATCTGCCCACCTTGGCCTCCAGAATTGCTGGGATTACAGGTGTGAGCCACCATGTCCGGCGAGAACTGCATTTTTCTAATGAACCGGAACTGGTGGATTAAATAGTGTACAGTTAATTCCCTCATAGGCAAATACCCTTCAGAGCAGCCTACATGGGATTGCCTGCCTTTACCTTGAGCTCACCAGGCTTCTTCTCCTCAGAGGACTTGCAGCGAGTGATCTCCTGCAGCTTCTGTTCCAGGGGCTCCAGACACTTCTGCAGTTTTTCCTGAGGGGTAGGGAGGAAGTGGGAGAGGTGACATTTGGGGTTGACTGGTATACCTACCATTCAGAGATTAAACCATTTGTTTTAAACCATTTATTTGCTTCCTAGCCATCTTACTGCCTCTTGATCTGACTTCCTTCCTTGCCTGTCATTTGGGATGTCAACTTTCTACAGTCCCTCCTCCTGCCACTAGCCTGTCCACATCACCTTCTCTGCTCACCCAACTGTCCTTTTACTGAATCTGAGATAGCTGTCATCAACTCTGTGTCCTTTCTCAACTCTTTCCATTTTCTTACTGAGGCAACTGCCTATTACCATCCAAGCAACCTTCTGTACCCTAATATCTCTCTTTAAACCTGTCCTCCCATCCACCTCTGTCCACCTACAATAAAAACATGGTTATTATACTGTAAGTTACCTGAAATCTTGTTTTCAAGAGTAACATAACTAAGCAAAGTATATGATAAAATGCTAACACATTCATATCTCTGTTCCCTTTATTCAAACATTTTCCTTTGTCTCAGCAGTAAGTTAAATGATATGCCATGTTACCCATTACCTAGAGAAGCTGCAAACAATTGAATGGTTCAGCTTAGTCCGGTAGGTATCAGTCTCAAGCGATATTACCTATGCCCAATAACCAGTGTGAAAACAAGGAGCATTCTGAGCAGGCAGGCAGAATGAAGAAACCAGACTACTTTTCAGTTCTTCCTAAGTTTAATCTTTTCCATGTGGTTTCATTCATTTATGAAAAATATGACCACACATACCAATATTCACCCATAAGACTCACATGTATTGCAAAAGTCAGAGAGAAATTTTAGGGCACTTCTCACCATTGCTCTTTTTCAGGCTAGAGGACAACTGATCACACATACTGTGTGCCCCTGCATATGCAGCTCTGAGAATACAAAGTGAGTAGTAGGAGCTTACGATCTCTACCTAGGGAGTATCTCATCCTCTGCCGCTTCTCCCTTTTTACCCACACTGACATCGTGTGTCTGCTTCCCCACCTTGTACTCCTGTGTAGCATCGTCCAGTGGCACAACGGTGTGGGCCCGGTGGGTGTGGGAAATTGCACATATCAAGCATACAGCCTCCTGGTCCTCATAACAGAAAAGGCTGAGGGCCTCATGGTGTTGGGGGCAGAGGCTCTCATCCCGGATCTTCCGCTTGACGGCCTGGAGCTGCTTGGCAATTTCCACCATACTGCCTAGTTGCCGATTAGGTCGGAGACTGCGGTAGCGGGATGTCTTTCGACAGACAGGACAAGGGAAGTCCCTCTCTAGGTCCTCCCACCAGCGGGTGATGCAAGCTTTGCAGAAGTTGTGCCCACACTCAATGATGACAGGTTCCTTCAGATACTCCAGGCACACAGAGCAGCTCGCCTCCACCTGTAAGTTCTCCAAAGCCGCAGCTGTAGAGGCTGCAGAGGCCCCAGCCTCTAACAGACTTGTCTCTGCCATAATTTAACTTGGGAGTGGGGAAGAGGACAGAGAAAATAAAAATATTAATTGGAGGTTTTTTCTTTTTTTTTTTTTTGCATCCCTGACCCGACATTTATCCCTATGTTAAGTCCTAACTCCAGATTTGCCCCTTCTTGTTATTCTCCATCTTCTCTTCCAATCAATTCAACCTCTTTGTTTCTCCATTTTCAAAACTTGTGACTCCCAGCCATCAACCTTTTTTTTCTTGTTAGTAAACTGACACACAACCCCCAATTGATCTATCTTGTCTCTTACCTCTGCTTTCTCTTGTTAGAAAGAGAAGCTTCCTTCAACTCTAGCTCAGCATACTTCTCCTGATCCAGGCTCATTCCACTTATATCTTAGAACCAATAGTTCCAGACACTGTATCCTCGTTTGACATACGTTTCTAACAGACAAGAAAGGAATCTGAGAAGTAAAAAATGTCATAAAAATATTAACATTTCTTAAATTAACCATATTTTAAAGTTTAATGTTATAAGAGCTTTATGATTAATCCACTGGAGTCTAAGCTTGATTCTCTGACACTGTTCTCTCATTCTTCTAAATCACAATATCCAACCTTTTGGCTTCCCTGGGCCCACTGGAAGAAGTGTCTTGGGCCAGACATAAAATACATTGACACTAATGACAGCTGATAAGCTTAAAAAAAAAAAAGTCCATGCATAACTTTTGTTCTATCACCACCACAGAAGGTCCATGCATAATTTTTATCAGCCACCACAGATAAGCAAAGAGAGTCCTCATATTGAAAGGGTTAGATACCACTGCTCTAAAGGCTAACAAATGGAATGAATGAGGCAAAGGCAACCTCCTCTTTTCAGGAAAATCTGAAATTATTCTTCCTTTTATCCATCAGACTAGCCTAAAGGAAATCTGCTCTCTTCTTGGAATGACATTTCACGCAACATTCCATTTCTCTTGTGTTCATCTGGACACTCAGAACTGCTGAAAACTGATAAATTATGGCAACCATATTAAATATTGCTGAGCTCAGGCCAACAACTTCTTGAAAAGAGAGCAACGAGTCTATTTGTAGTGACTGGAATCTTTCAATATAGCTATTGATAACTAACACCCTGGGCATAGTGTGTCTCCAACTTATAGGTCCTGGAGTGGTTGCGAATTAAGAGACACAAAAGAGGCAATGAGATCTCCCTCAAGCGCAGCCTCAGAAGAATTGGAAATGCATAGGAGAGATTTATAAAACACAAGGCTGGCCCCCTACTCCATCCTTAAAACATCCATACTTTTAGCCATGGGTAAGTTGATTTAACTATCCCCATAACCTTTTCTCCTCCCGACCCCCATCCTTCTCCAGGGACCTACTGGAAGGAAGGAAATTTGGTAGATCTATGTGCTGAGAGATAAGTGGCCATGTAATGAGGTAGGTTAACAACAATTGTTCCTGTATATATTGTTGGCACACACAAATGTGTTTGATTTGGAGTAGGAACTGATAACTTCTTTGGATTTGAATTTCTTCTGTCAGCAATAGGAGAGAAGTTCAGTCAGATGATTTCTATCTGTGGGAATCCAACTTTGACTTGTGGTGATCCTACCCCTTCCTCAGTCTTTTACAAATTAAGTGGCCTCCTCACCTGAGACGAGTAGAACTGTATGCACAGTAAGGCACCAGGACGGATCTAGACTGGCAAAGAAGTGGTGAGAGAAATGGGGAAAGGGTTAGGGAAGAAGGGAGAGGACTCTCAACTACAGTCATAGTGAGACCTTGAGTGCCTCTGCGTTAGTCCTTCCTCTTCCTCTACTCCTTGTGTCTCAGCTGAAGGGCAAACTTCAGGGACAATCTCATTTTGTTTCTACCACTGTTCAGGGTCCCACCTTGCGACCCTCTCCTGAGAGGTTGTCCACAACTCTGTCCCACCCCCGTTCTCCATCTTCTTCCGCCAGATCTGGGGCTGGGGCATTGGAGAGGGGAAAGAGGAAACGTCGTGGCTGGCAGGGTAGGAAGGGATGCGTGTCCAGGTGAGAAAGAGGTGTGACGTGCAGATGGGATGCCCGCCGCTATGACGCTGCCGAGACCCGCGGTGACTGCGTCAGAGTTTCACCCGGGGAGGTGAGCAGCAGCGGGACGGGGGAACGGCGGGGTAGCCAAGCAACGCCGGACGCGCTGACGTCGCCGGGGCGGCAAAACGTCCGCCCGGGCCCGAGGCGGGCGGAGGCAGCTGTGGTTACGTGCGGGGGGCCGGTGACGCAGTCGCGGGGCGCTGGGACGCGGCTTGCGGAGCCGGCCGGCGAGCGCAGGCCCCAGGCTCGGGCGCGGCGGCGGGACAGCACCTACCTTCCCGGCTTCGGGTCCGGGAGTGCGGGGCGCGGAGCCGCCGGAGCGCTGCCTCCCTCCTTCCTCCTCCCCTCGCCCCCGCCCCGCGGCGCGACACACAATACTCGCCGGAAGCGGAAGCCGCGCCGAGGCTCGTGTCAGTGGAAGCTGGGGTGTCGGCGGGCGGCCGCGGCCGGGTCTAGCGGTGCCTGCGGAAGAAGGAGGAGGAGGGCTGGCGATGAGAAGCAGCAGGGGGAATCAAGGGCAAGAAGGGACCCAGAGGGGCAGGTGGCTGAGATGCTGGCGTCCAGGTGACCCGAGGAATCCTCTGGAGATACAGGCCCGCGCATGCGCGTGCTCGAGCGCTGAAGCCCATTGCCCGCAGGGCGCTGGACTGGCGCCCCGGCCGGCGAGGCTGTCTAGTCCAGGCTCCAGGCCCCGGCTCTGGCCAGGCGCCGCCGCCTCCCGGTGCAGCTGAAAGTCGACGAAGAGGGCGGGGCGGGGGCGGCTTGTGGACTTCCACACTTTTCCTCTCTTCGGGCCAGTCTGGGGAGAGGGTGGCTAGCTGTGGCGGCGGCCAATTACGTGGCGGACCTGCGGGGCTAAGCTGGCACGTCACTTCCGACTAGTGGAGTTTTTAGCCTTTTAACATTCAAGGATTAGGTAAGTTCTCCCCGCGGTAGACTTCAAATACTCTTTGTCCTGCCCCTGCTTGGCGAAATTTACCGAAATTATCTACCTATCCCGCTGGAGTGGGAGCCGGGGGAGAGCTGGAACCGCGTCTCTGCTGCTCACCTTTGTGTCCTTAGCTCCTTCGCATGGGGTCCGACCGCAACACGTGCGCTGGATAAACGCTTGTTAACTGGGTGAGAGCCAAGGCCTGTTCTTTCCACTTCTGGGGCTGTGACTTGAGTTTCTCCGCAGGAGCAGATAGTGTTTGTGTAGGGACTGCGGACTTTTGCATTACAGCCTCCCTGCTTTGCCCGCCTGCTGCTGGAAGCTTAGCAGGTCAGTGATTTTGGAGGAAGTGGGTGAGGTGATGAGGCTGGGGAAGAGTATGCTGGGAGAGGTGTGAGGGGCCCGGGAAGAGGTGATGGGGCTGGGGAGGGGCTAGTAGTGGGTAGAGGTGTGAAAAGGCTGAGGAGGAGGGGTTAGTGCTAGGAGGGGTGTGACACGGCTGGTAGAAAAGATAGCTTGCTCCGCCTCCCAGCCGCCAGCACTAGTCATGGAGAATATTCATTGAAAGAGATGAGCAGATTTTGCTGTACTCTCCTCGGTGAGAAAGGGCCCTAATTTCCGGTGTAAATTGTGCTGCTGTTTACAAACACCCTGCATTATTTAACCTCTCATCTTGGGAGCCAGAAACTATTTACTTGCTGAAAATATAATCCAGTATCTAAGGTATAAAGATTTGGGATCACACATGCTAATTACAGTTGTCTACCTTTACTGTTCCTTTTTTTGTGCCAAGAATTGAAGAAGATTAAATTTGAGAAAATTACATTTGATACCTTTTTTCACATTGCTATGTAGCCGTTAGGGATTTTAGCAGCAGCACTTGTTCTAATTCACAAGATGTCTCACTTGTAAGGGTAGTTTGAAAGCCACTAACTGGGCAGTGAGCCTCCTTAGCCGTGGCTTCGGAGGGAGAGAGAGATTTGGTTTTGATTTGTTAATTTGTGGCGCTTAAGATGTTGATAGCCCTCCTTTCTGGCTTTCTGTTTGTAGATAACCAGGAGGAATGTGATTAGACTAAGGAAATTAACAAGAGGAGGTCCAGTTCTAAGGACTGTGAAGAATGTGCTTGCCTAGAGACTGATATTAAGGGGATTTTATGCTGAATATGGAAGGAAAAAAGGGAGACTGTCTAGGTAAAACTATAAAATTATGAAGCGCAAGTAGTATGACATATAACAGGGCTTGGCAAATCTTTGCTGTAGAGAGCCAGAGAGGACATCTTTTTGGCCTTGTGGTCCATACTCAGCTTTCTCCTTGCAGTATGAAAACATCATTAGACAGTACTAAATGAAGGCTGGGCGCGGTGGCTCACGCCTGTAATCCTATCACTTTGGGAGGCCGAGGCGGGTGGATCACCTGAGGTCAGGAGTTTGAGACCAGCCTGGCCAACATAGCGAAACCCTGTCTCTACTTTTTAGTAGAGACAAAAATTAGCCGGGCGTGTGGCGCGTGTGGCGTGCACCTGTAATCCCAGCTACCTGGAAGGCGGAGGCAGGAGAATGGCTTGAAAGCAGGAGGCAGAGGTTGCAGTGAGCCGAGATCTCGCCACTGCACTCCAGCCTGGGCGACAGAGCGAGACTCTGTCTCCAAAAACAAACAAAAGCTAAATGAGCATGGCTGTGTTCCAATGAAACTTTATTATGGATGCTAAAATTTGAATTTAATAACATTTTCAAGTGTCATTAAATACTCCCCTTGGATTCTGGCCCTCCCTCCCCAGTCATTTAAAAATGTAAAAACCATTCTTAGCTTTTGACGTATACGAAGACAGATAGTAGACCGTAGTTTGCCGACTCCGGACAGGATAATAATGAAATATCCGGTATTTTTCAAGCGATAGTAATTGGGAGAGAGTGAAAACAAGCTATAATCTCTTAATTTCATCTGTCTGTTTACCACAATAATAAAGGGGATCTGAATTCTTAACACAAATTTGTTATGGCCTTTGAAAGTTGCCAAGATTTATGAATGTACGTATATTCTCTAAACAAGAAAAGGTATATTCCTTGTTTAAAAAGGATTACAGTTCAAGAAAAGTGGAATAACACCGAGTTTTGATGTTGATTTATACCAAAGGATTTTCAACACAGGAATATGCAAAAATGAACTGTAATAATGGGATGTAATTAAACAAATTTTAAATATACATTTTTAATATTTTTATATCAATAAGGGAAAACAGAAGCAATCTTGAAATGACTGAGTCATATAGAGCAAATGGGCATATAAGCAGTGTAGGTAGGAAACTGGTTGAGGTCAGATATGATGAGATGGGAGGGATGAAGGCGGGGTTTAATTGTCCAAGACTTGTGAGATTCTTACTCATGAAAAGGCAATATATCTAATCCCCCTCCATTTTTTTCATTTTTTATTATGAAAAATTTCAAACATAGAGACAGTCTTCAGCTTGCTTTTTATACTTTATAGTGGCTTTTATTGTTCCAGTTTGGTGACATAGAGCTACCTCACTCTTTTTAAAGTCTGCATTATTCATTTTGTAGACATGTGATTTATTCAACAATTTTGAGTAGACATTTAAGGTTCTTTCCACATCTTATTAAATAAAGGCTGTCGAGAACATCCTTGTACATATCTCTTTAGATCGTCGTGCCATTATATTAGTAGGATAAATTTCTGGAAGTTTGGCTGCTGGGTTCGAAGGCATGGAAATTTAAAATTCTATTAGATTTTTACAATTATCTTTCCGTAAGTGCCTGGCAAGGTGTCAGAGCCCTGGCACCGGGAAGTGGTCAACTCGCAGGTTGGTAAAATGAATTTACCATACCTACAAACAGTATAGGTTTGAAAAAAGGAAAGTTTATTAGAAAGGAAGAACTGAAACAGCCTTTGCAAAATGATGACTGAGACAGTGAAAGAAATCTAACGTAACCGACTCCATCTTGCTTCTAAGCTCCAAGCTGTTCTTGTTCATTCCTGGGCGTAGGCTGAACTAACTTTGGGAGAAACTTAGTTTATAAACAAAGAGGGTAACAGCCCTTTCCCAAAGCAGACTTCCTTCTTGTCTGAGGACTAGACTAACATTAGCCACAGGATTAGAATTTTTGGTTTAGTAGTCATGCAGCTGGAGGCTGCAAGATTCTGACCCTCCCTAAACTGCTCCTGTGATCAGTGCTTGAGGTATTTTGCAGACCCCGTACTTGATGGGTCAGCTGGCACTACCCACATCAATAAACTGGCTCTTTTTTTTTTTTTTTTTTTTTTTTTGGAGACGGAGTCTTGCTCTTGTCGCCCAGGCTGGAGTGCAAATGGCACGATCTCGGCTCACTGCAACCTCCGCCTCCCGGATTCAAGTGATTCTCCTGTCTCAGCCTCTCGAGTAGCTGGGATTACAGGCACCTGCCATCACGCCTGGCTTTTTCTGTTTGTTTTTTTTTTTTTGTTTTTTAGTAGAGACAGGGTTTCACAATGTTGGCCAGGCTGGTTTCCAATTCCCGACCTCCGGTGATCCACTCACTTTGGCTGCCCAAAGTGGCTCATCTGATTATGTGGCCCCCACCCAGGAACTGACTCAGTGCAGGAAGACGGTTTTGATTCCCTACAGTTTCATCCCTGACCAATCAGCACTTCTGGCTCACTGGCTTCCCCCCACCCACGAAGTTATCTTTTAAAACTCTGCTCCCCCGTGCTCGGGGAGACTGATCTCCCACACAGCTGGTTCTGCGTGAAGTACTCTTTCTCTATCACAATTCCCCTGTCTCGATGAATTGACTCTGTCTAGGCATGGGCAAGGTGAACCCCTTAGGCGGTAACAGAACACTGCAGAAGAGTGCAGTGGGGCGCCTCAGCAAGAGGACTAAGTGTGCTGCCATGGATTTTTCTTTAGAGGTATTTATGGACCTTAAGGCAGGAGCTTAGGATAGTAAAAAGAGTTTCGGCATGGCATTTCAGAGATGTATATAAATTTTAGTTACTTGTAAAAGTTGAAAGAGGCCTGGAACCAGACTTTAGATACTAGGAAAGTTTAATTACTTCTGAATTCCCAGAAAAGGAGTTTCGCCTCTGTCTGGCCCGTTTGGTGGTCACCAGGTGGTCTTTGTTCCCTTCGAAATTCCTCAGATCAGGAGCTTTTGTCTGTGGGGCCTATTCAGTGGTCAACAGGTGATCAACCTCATGGTCAACTTCAGTAAGGTTGCACCTATTTTTATCCACACCAGCATATCATGAAATACAGTAGTCCTCCCCTTATCCTCGGTTTCATTTCTCAAGGTTTCATTACTCTTGGCAACCACAGTCTGAATATTTTAAGTGGAAAATATCAGAAATAATTCCTAAGTTTTAAATTGGCACCTAAACAATTCCTGTTTTAAATTGGGCGCTGCACCATTCTGATGAACATGATGAAATCTCATGCCATACCACTCCATCCCTCCCCAGGATTTGCATCATCCCTTTGCCCAGTATCCACAGTGTATATGCAGCCTGCCTATTAGTCACTTAATAGCCTTCTTATCAATTTTACTGCCTAAGTATCACAGTGCTTATATTCATGGAACCCTTATTTTACATGACAGTGGCCCCAAAGTGCAGGAGTACTAATGATGGCAACTTGGATATACAAAAGAGAAGCCATAAAGTGCTTCTTTTAAGTGAAAAGGTAAAAGTTCTTGACTTAAGGAAATTTTTTAAATGCTGAGTTTGCTAAGATCCATGGTCAGAACAAATCTTCTATCCCTGAAATTATAAAGGAGGAAAAAGAAATTTTTGCTAGTTTTACTGTCACACTTCAAAATGGAAAAGTTGCAGCCACAGTGCATGTTAAGCACTTGGTTAAGATAGAAAAGTCATTAAAATTGTGGGTGGGAAACATCACCAAAAAAAACTTCCTATTAACAGCAATCGGGTTCAGTACTATCAGTGGTTTCAGACATCCACCGGGGATCTTGGAACATATCTCCCAAGAATAAGAGGGAACTACTGTAGTCTGTTTTCCTACAGTGGTGCCATTCCTGATATTTTCATATTTTTAAAAATTTGCTGATATTTTTATTTATAATCCTTAATAATTCCATAACAGGTCTTGTTTTGCAGGTAATGTTTTTAACCTTTTGTCAGTAGATAGGCATTTACTTCATTTCCTATTGATACTTAGTTTCCTCTTTTTTTCTGCTACACAGTATTACAATAATAACTTTCTGAACACATGTCATGTGCTGGTAGATTTTTGTGAGAAAGGTTTCTGGGTCGAAGGATATGGCATGTTTCTAATTTGATGGATGTTGCCATATTGCTTTCTCAGTAGGCTGTTAACCTTTACATTTCCTTACAACAATGTATGATCCTGCTCCCTTCCCACTTGCCCAGCAAAGATACATATTATTTATGTTTTTATTTTTTTCCCAGCCAATAAAGAGAAGTCTTAGTTACTTTTAATTTTCTCTTCCTTTAGTAATTTTGATTATGTTACTGTTTGCCATTCAGATTTTCTGTGCATTTTCAATTCTATCCTTTGCCCATTTTTCCTATTGGATTGTTTATCAGTCTCATACATATGCACACATGTATGTGTGCTTGCCCTATCCGTGTGTCCATGCATGCAAACGCACACACACACACACACCCCTACCTGTCCTCATTAAGAAATCCATCCTGACCTCCAGATTCTAATTTGCTTTCTTCGGTTTCTTACAATATTTTTTATTCCTTACATTTAAATATTTTTTAAAAATATCCTGTAAAAGGAGAATCTTAATTTTTCTCCAGAGCAGTGCTGTCCAATAGAAATATAATGGAAGCGAGCCAGGTGCGGTGGCTCACGTCTGTAATGCCAGTACTTTGGGAGGCCAAGGCAGGTTAATCACTTGAGGTCAGGGGTTTGAGACCAGCCTAGCCAACATGGCAAAACCTCATCTCTACTAAAAATACAAAAAAATTAGCCAGGCCTGGTGGCTCATGCCTGTAATTCATTCCAGCTACTTGGGAGGCTGAGGCAGGAGAATCGCTTGAACCCGGGAGGCAGAGGTTGCAGTAAGCCCAGATCGCGCGACTGTACTCCAAACTGGGTGACATCAAGACTCTGTCTCAAAAAAGGAAATATAATGCAAGCCGCTTATATGATTTGTGGTTTTCTAATTATAGCTGCATTAAAAAAGGTAAAGAGAAACAGTTAAAATTAACTTTAATAATATATTTTATTTTACCAACCTAACCCATTATATTTAAAATATTATCATTTTAACATGTAATCAGTTTTAAACAATTACAAATAAGATATTTTATGTTCTTTTGTATACTAAGTCTTTGGAATCTAGTGTATATTTTATACATACGTCACTAGGTCTGTGGTTAAGTGCTTATGGCCATTGTGGGGCTCAGAACTCATACCCGAAAATATGGTGCTGTGGCATAGTAAACTGAAGAAACCCAGAGTTCTCTGTGACCTCCCCATCCCCTACCTCCTCTCTCAAATAAGTTGAAGTTTCTTTATCTGCCTAAGATCTACACCCACCAAAGAGAACTGTTGTTTTTTCTTGCCCTCCCTTGTTAGACCCAGAGTGTACTCGCACCTGAACAGACCCTTTCAGTGTCAAAGAGAACTATTTACATGTTAATCTCTGTTCCCAGATCCATTCATTCTCCCTAGTATCAGCTCACAGCAGCTCCACCAAGCAGTGCAGAGTCCCTATTGCTTCACATTCTCTCAGTACTTGGTATTTTCAGACTTTTGAATTTTGGCC